>NC_000011.10:30666060-30817575 GCF_000001405.40 Homo sapiens
GAAGAAGGAGAAGGGGGAGAAGGAGGGGGAGAAAATGTGTAATTCCCCTAACAGGAAGCAAATACTATTAGTGATTTTCTTCATTAAAATTACTGTTAATAATTTGGTTAATTTACTAAATTACTAATAGAAGCTATTATTACTATTAGCACTAAATTACTATTAGTAATCTTATTGCATATTTTAAATATTTGAGATAGGCCATATTTTTCTCAAAAGCCTATATAATTGTTTTCCCTTGCTATTAAAAATCTGTAGATTGTACTTAATGATAACTTAATGTCTCATTGTTCAGAAACCCTTTTCACAGACCACAAAGAGGGCATTTGTTTTATTACTATTCGTGTGAACATAGAGTCCTCCCTAGAATTCCTTATTTATTTATGTAGTTAAGAACCCAGCAGAATACCCGTATATAAGCTCTCAAAATTCTTTCTTCGAGAGAAGTAAATAAGAAATGAACAAAAATCATAAAGCAGACAGAGATACAACAGGAGGCATGGAAAAAGTGTCAACAATACATACCACATTTTGCCTGGTTCCGTGTTTCATTTTGGAGTTAATCATTTATAACTTCTGGGTCTATATTCCCATTATAGCCCATTTCTCACTACCTTGTGAATATTCATGAGAAGATTCCAGAGAACCAAGTGCTTAAAGGAGACTGGTTTTTGGTCATGTCATTAATTAAGTAATTTATTCATATATTTAGAGTAAATGCCTGTTATGTGCCAGGCCATGTTCTAGGTCCGGCAGATACAGCAGTGAATATGACAGGCAAGATCTCTGCTTTTTGGAATTTTGCATTCTGCTAGTGATGGAGGGGAAGCAGAAAACAAAGAAGTTAAGAAATAAATGATGAAAAATTTTGTATAGAGATAAGTGTTATGAAGAGACTAAAACAGGGAGTCATGAGAGCAAATGGGGAAGTAGGAAGGGAGTGGGTGGCTTTAGCTTGGGTGGTGAGAAAAGTCCTCTCTCAGGAGGTGACAATCGAGTTTTTGGCCTGCATGACAAGAAGTATGCAGCTACATGAAGATGTAAGGGATGAGTATGCCAAACAGGGAACAGCAGATTCACCCACGAAAAGAAAGAAGAATAATGTGATGAGTGAGGAGAGTAGGAAGAGATGAGCTGAGGTGGCCAAGAGTTACCAGAGTTTGAAAGACCATGGTGAGGACTTTGGATTTATTTTAAGAGGAATGGAGAAGCCAGTGGAAGGATTTATGCATTGGAGCAAAATCAGAGTAAAGTCTGATTTATATTCTAAAATGTTCACTTGGCTGCTGCATGGAACATGGGTTGCTGGAGGATAAGAATGGAAGCAGATAGACCATTTGGAACCATTGTCATTCTCCAGAGAAGGGACGATAGTGGCCTAGACTAGGGTGATGGTGGTGAGATGGAGAAAAATGAATGGGTTGGAAACATGTTTTGAAAGTAGAGCCAGCAGAACTTGTAGGTAGATTATACATGTGTTGGGTCTCCTTTGTGACTTGTGCAGTGTTACTGGATGTGGACATTAGTGTCAAATGTCTCTGCTGGAATCCTGGCTCTACCACTTACTAAAATTGGGCAAGTAATTAAACTGTTCTTCAGTTTGTGTATCTGTGAGAAACTTCATAGAGTTGAATAAATGCGTTAACGCATGTGAAGTGTTTAGCACCTGGCCCACAGGCAGCATTTGATAAATTTTAACTATTACCATCATCATAGTTATTATTATTAAAACTGTGCAATCTATAGATTTTTTTTATTCAGAAACAAGTGTACCTAAAGCACTTAGCTTTAAGTGGGTAGTGAATAGAGGACATGGAACAAGTAATGCAGGAGATTTATCTCAGGAGACTCATGTCTCTCAAAGGGATAACTTCTCCAATTTTTCTCTGTGCTGAATGGATGGAGACTTATTTTCCTATGCCAGTGATAAGTCAGTGTGGGATATAAAACCTGTTCAGAATGAAGCATAATACTTTTTTTCATCTTTGGTAATTCCCCCTAAGATCTTCCTCTTTATTCCTGCACATTATTCATCTGTAATATAAAGGAGATAATATGGAAATTAAAGTGCTAATTTCACTTGCTATGGGAATCAGACCACAGTATGGGGATTAAGAAACAAAAGAACAGAAAACACACACACACACAACACACACACACACACACACACACACACACACATCACCTTCCCAGAGAGATTGCTTTGACCCTGTGGATTTTTATGAACAATTTTCACAGCATTGAGTGGAAAAAAATCCCCTTTTATTGCTAAATTTCTTAACACCATAAGGTTTAGTGGTACTCACAGTAATTTGTGGTTCTATTCATGGGTTTCTTAACCAATAGACTATGAGAAATGTTGGAGGCAAGGTATATACTTTGAAGTCTGTCTTATTGTTAGATTTTTTTCACTCATAGTAAAAGCTACCATATGTTGACTACTAACCATGTGCCAGACACTGTGCCAAGTTTCCCACATATCCGATCTTATTTAATTCTTACCATAACCCTGCAAGATAAAAATTGTTATTCCCATTTTGGAGAAGATAAAACTGAGGCTTAAGAAGTTAAGTAACTGGCTCGAAGTTACTCACAGTAGGTTGTAAAGCTGGGGACTTGAACCTAGATCCATCTCTAAATGCTATGCTCTTAACCACTGTGTTGTAATACCTATACCTGCCAAATGTTTTATTGAACTTTATGTAAATTACATATGTGCTTTATGTGAAATGAAAATCCATGAAAATAAAAATATAGCTTTTTAGAGGAGTAAAGGCAAACAGATTTACATATGATAATTCAGGTTGCATAGGATACCTTGTTTGTAACTCAATTTTAGAATCACTATCTTAAATTGCTTACCCTGTGGTTTAAGCACAAATGTGTAAAACTTTCTTCTTTTTTTCTAAGTTAAAAATCACTTGTCCTGCAGTTTGAAGACAAGTGGACATGGGAAATAAACCTTGAAATATTAGATTCATGTATGGCTTGGTTTTGTCTTCAAATCACTGTTCTAATCACTTCTGACCATGAACCTTGTCAATTTGACATTTTGTTTATTTCAGAAAGAAATAATATAGACTGAAGTCATAATGTCAGGAGAGTGTATAAAAATCCTCCCCTACTCCATCTCATCCCAAGGAAAAGTGCAATAGTATTACCTTTCACATATTAACTCCTTCAGTTCATAAGAGGAAAATATCCTAGGACTGCACTCTCCAAGATGGTAACATTAGCCTCACAGGGCTATTGAAATACAGCTAATCTGAACTGATATGTGCTCAAAAGTGCAAAATACACACCATATTTTGAAGACTTATAAAAAAAAAGAACATAAAATATCTCAATCATTTGTATTGGTTACATGTTGAAATGATAGATAATACTTTAGAAACAGTGAGTCAAATAAAATAGATTATTAAAATTAATTTCACTTACTTATTTTTCCATTTTTAATGTGAATACTAAAGAAGTGAAAATTGCCCATGGAGCTCACAGTATTTTTCTGCTTGATAGTGCTGTTCTACAGTCCTATATTTAGCATATTTATTTTGAAACCCATTTTGGAGGTTAATGAGGGAAGAATTCACACCTTCAGATACACAAAGAGAGCTTGTATAATGCTCCAATTCTGATATAGTGTAAAATCAATACCAGATCCTCATCTAATTGCTGAGGACAATAAACTCATCCTTAAGTTCCACAAAGCCAGACACCTTCTTGGAAACCAATGTGAATTATGGAAGGCATCTAGGCCTTGCAGTTAGGCAGGCTTGATTTGAAGTATTGAATAGTCATATGACCTCGGGCATTAGCCAATTCTGTGTATCACTGTATGTCTTCCTAGCCCCACCTTTTGCTACAGCCACTGCCGTCCTGGCCATTTCTGCACAGGCTTCAACCAGCTTTGCACAGATCAAATAGGTCAGTGTCTGCCTGACTCCACTCATATTTCTAGCTTCCTACCCTAGGGTTTAGACATGGGGTGCCCATGGGAACACTTTTGGCATTTGTACATGCAAATCTCAACGTGCAAGGGAGTAAGCAGCTGTGGGGCCACCTTGACCAGTCAGAGGTAGAAGACTAAAGATCAATGCTTCTCCCTTTTCTAACCCAGGTGCACAGTTATGTGCCACATATCACAAGCCTCCTAAGAAGGGATGAAGCTCTGTCACCTTCAGAAGTGGGCAGCTTTATAATGCATCCATGTACTGGCTTTTCCTTCTTCCTGGTTCCTTTCCCTTTGTCCTGCTCCCTGGATCACATCCCAAATGAACTACTTGCACACAAACCTTGTGTGTCAGGCTTTGCTTTAGGGGGACTTAGGCTGATGTACTTTGGGAAAGTGCACCTTGGGAAATTAGGATATCAATTTTCTCGTATGTAATTGGGGATAATAATATTTATTTTGAAGAATTGTGGGAATTAGAGATAATGTATAAAGCACCTAGCAGAAATCTTTGGTATCCATTATTATTGTCTCCCTTGATATTTGTTAGGGTAAAATTTCACATCAATGGCAAAATAGGGCCCTATATAGATGTTCTTTCATGTGAGCCTTAGGAATGGCAGGGATTTTGAAGAATTTTCTGATGGGAGTCTCTGCTTTACATTCAAAGATAACCTAAGTGGATTAGAAGTAGAAATATATTCTTAAGGTAAAAATATATGCTTGGGAAACTCCTCCATGTGGAAATGAAAGGGATAAGGAAATGATGACTTCATGGGACATGGCTCTGATCTGGGGTCTATCACCCTCCCCTTCTGTCTCTGAAGTATGAATGTGGGAAATATAAGCACAGGAGAGATCATACACTCCCAATGGGTTTAGAGAAAAAAGCTGCTCTTGCTAGTTTGTTTTTAAAAAGTGTGAGAGCTTAATGTGCGTTAAATATAAATATCAGATATTTTTTGTATAAATATACCTAATTTTTATGTGTGGCCCCCAACTACTGATATTGGAAAATTAGTGTTAGTCAGTTCCAGGGAAACTCAGTTGATTTGGTGTTTCCTGTTTCCTTTTCTCCTTGATGTTATATCTAAGTTTATCGGGGGAAAGGAAAGGCGTTAAATATCACAAAGTCACTGGGGTCAGGAGAAAAGAGGATGTCTTGTGCTTGGATGTCACATTTCCATGCTGGCAGCTGCTGACATGTACATAGGAGTCCCTGGTACCTAGTTTTTCATTCTTACCCGCTGGTACACTGTATAAATCTCCTGCTGTATTTTCCTGAGTTTGATAGTATAAACTCTCTGGGTCCTTCAATATTTCATGCCCTGGCTCTGCTATTCTCAACTTCATGAGGAAAAACATTTTCTTATTCCCTGTGATGCCTTGGGCATTCTGTGACGTTGTGCCAGGCATCACATACAGCTGTGGTAGTAAGAATAATGACCTCCTGAAGATGCCTATGTCCTGATCCCTAGAATCTGTGAATATGCTATGCTTCATGGCAGAAGGAAATTAAAGTTGCACATAGAATTAAGGTATTTAATCACTTGACCTTAAAACAGGAAGATCATCCTGGATTATCCAGTGGGCCTCATGTAATCACAAAGGCACTTAACAGTGGAAGAGGGAAGCAGAAAAGTCAATGGTACAGTGATTCAGTGTGAGAAAGACTTGGCTGGTTATGGTTGACTTTGAAGATGGAAAGAGGACTACATGAGCAAAGAAATATGGAAACCACTAGAAGCTGGAGAAGGCAAGAAAACAAATTGTCCCCTAGAACCTCCAGAAAGGAATGTAATTCTGCCCATACCTTGATTTTAGCTCACTGAGACCCATTTTTGTCAACTCTGGACTGGGGAAAAACAATAACTCTGACCAGTTACATACTCTTTCAGATATACTAACTATGCCAAGACCCCTGCAAAATCCTTTTTAGCTGTATTTTCCTCCCCTAAGTCAGAAAGTTTGGAATGCCCTAGCTGCTGCTTGGATAGGAGAAGTGTCCAGAAATAAAAAAAAAAAACAAAGCAAAACAAAAAAGATCCTCCAGTTAATAGATACACGATATTATTTTATTATATCAGCCAGTTATTTAAAATACCGTTTTGATTGAATTCAATGATTTTCATTTTGAATATGGATTGTATGCGTGTATGTGTGTTTCTATACAACACACAGAGGTGCAAATGTGCATATACTCATAAACAATGAAAGAAGGGGAGAGGAAGGGCAGGTAAGAGCAAGGCAGTGAAAAGAAGATAGAAGTCAGGAGGAACTAGAAAGATGACAGTTCAACAGGACAGAGAGAAAGAAGCAAGTCAGTGAGTGAGGATCTGCTAAACAGCTGCCCAGAGACGCCTGCGCAAACCAGAACCAGACAACTCCTGGCTGAGGATAAGTAGGCTTCCCCAGGGTGTCCTCTAGGAAATAGTGACTCCCTCTTCCCACCAATTCATATGAATGCCTTGATATTTATCTTTTTGCTCAGATTTTCTACCTGTCTTCATTAATTTATTTTCCATAGCTTTCTAATCTTTATTCCCGTTACTAAAATTTCCTAGGTATTCCACTGGAATTTTATAACAGTTGTCAACATTTAGGAAACATTTACATTTGTTGAACACCCCGTATGTGCCAGGTGTAGTGTTAAGCAGACAGTGGAGATGAGACACATGCTAATTTACTAAGTCAAGTAAGCAATGATAATTGTTTTTCTTACTAAATTCCTGTAAATGGCAGAAATAATAATATAAATAGTCAAAAGAGACATAGAACTATTTATCCCAGCATTTTTGCCACATTCAAAAAATTTATAGCTCTTTAATAAAGACAATTATAATTTATTTATGCAATGTGACATATAGGTGAAATGTCTGCATAAGGGTTTACAGTTTATTCTATACAGAGTACTCTTACCAAATTTATGAGCTATTATTATTATCATTTTTCCAGTTGTGAAATAAAGAAAACTGAATCTCAAAGAAGTTAAATGTTTTGACCTGAGTCATTTGAAGCTGGGGCTTGAACCCAGGTCTTTAACTTCAAATTAGATGAGTATTTTACCATACCACATTACTATATCATATACCAGATTACTAAATAAATGTGAATTTTATTATGTATTGTATTTTACATTTTTTATAAGATGTTGAATTTATGTACATAGTTCATTCAGTAGCCATTATGTGTTTGGTAGTAGTTTTTACACAGACTGGAGCACTAGAACTAGTTTTAATGCAAAAGAGTTTACCTTTCCACATTTAATTGATAACAGATGCTCTTTCATTGGGTGGAAGGACAATTTCAAAGTTTTCCTATGTAAAATCTTCCAGAGTGCAGAAGTGTGGATTGTCCTATGTCAAATAGTAAATTCCAAGCCTACTATTAAAAGACTAAAAATGTAAAAGCCACTGGTAAGGTAGGGCCAGCGAGCAACCATTCTCAATGTCAGAAGTTTTCTAATTTGTCTTCATTGATTATATTGAAGAAAGAAAAATTTTATGAGAAAAAAAGTGTGTACTTAAAAACTTCTGCATAAGATTGACTGATAGATTCATAACATTAAAAACTGTAAATTTTAAGAAAATTCTTGGGGGGTTGGAGCCAAGATGGCCGAATAGGAACAGCTCCAGTCTATAGCTCCCAGCATGAGTGATGCAGAAGCCGGGTAACTTCTGCATTTCCAACTGAGGTACCGGGTTCATCTCACTGGGGAGTGCCAGACAGTGGGTACGGGACAGTGGGTGCAGTACACGGTGCATGAGCCGAAGCAGGGTGAGGCATCGCCTCACCTGGGAAGCACAAGGGGTCAGGGAATTCCCTTTCCTAGTCAAAGAAAGGGATGACAGATGGAACCTGGAAAATTGGGTCACTCCCACCCTAATACTGCATTTTTCCAATGGGCTTCACAAACAGCACAACAGGAGATTATATCCCGCACCTGGCTCGGAGAGTCCTATGCCCACGGAGCCTCGCTCATTGCTAGTACAGCACTCTGAGATCAAATTGCAAGGCGGTAGCTGGGGGAGGGGTGCCCGCCATTGCTCAGGCTTGAGTAGGTAAACAAAGTAGCCGGGAAGCTCAAACTGGGTGGAGCTCACCACAGCTCAAGGAGGCCTGCCTGCCTCTGTAGGCTCCACCTCTGGGGGCAGGGCACAGACTAACAAAAAGAGAGCAGTAACCTTTGCAGACTTAAATGTCCCTCTCTGACAGCTTTGAAGAGAGTAGTGGTTCTCCCAGCATGCAGCTTGAGATCTGAAAATGGACAGACTGCCTCCTCAAGTGGGTCCCTGACCCCCGAGTAGCCTAACTAGGAGGCATCCCCCAGTAGGGGCGGACTGACACCTCACACAGCTGGGTACTCCTCTGAGACAAAACTTCCAGAGGAATGATCAGGCAGCAGCATCTGCGGTTCACCAATATCCGCTGTTCTGCTGCCACCACTGCTGATACCCAGGCAAGCAGGGTCTGGAGTGGACCTCCAGTAAACTCCAACAGACCTGCAGCTGAGGGTCCTGACTGTTAGAAGGACAACTAACAAACAGAAAGGACATCCACACCAAAAACCCAGCTGTACATCACCATCATCGAAGACCAAAGGTAGATAAAACCACAAAGATGGGAAAAAAACAGAGCAGAAAAACTGGAAACTCTAAAAATCAGAGCACCTCTCCTCTTCCAAAGGAATGCAGCTCCTCACCAGCAACGGAACAAAGCTGGATGGAGAATGACTTTGACGAGTTGAGAGAGGATGGCTTCAGAAGATCAAACTACTCCGAGCTAAAGGAGGAAGTTCAAACCAATGGCGAAGAAGTTAAAAACTTTGAAAAAAAAAATAGATGAATGGATAACTAGAATAATCAATGCAGAGAAGTCCTTAAAGGACCTGATGGAGCTGAAAACCATGGCACGAGGACTACATGATGAATGCACAAGCCTCAGTAACCGATGCAATCAACTGGAAGAAAGGGTATCAGCGATGGAAGACGAAATGAATGAAATGAAGCGTGAAGAGAAGTTTAGAGAAAAAAGAATAAAAAGAAACAAACAAAGCCTCCAAGAAATGTGGGACTATGTGAAAAGACCAAATCTACGTCTCATTGGTGTACCTGAAAGTGACGGGGAGGCTGGAACCAAGTTGGAAAACATTCTGCAGGATATTATCCAGGAGAAGTTCTCCAATCTAGGAAGGCAGGCCAACATTCAAATTCAGGAAATACAGAGAACACCACAAAGATACTCCTCGAGAAGAGCAACTCCAAGACACATAATTGTCAGATTCACCAAAGTTGAAATGAAGGAAAAAATGTTAAGGGCAGCCAGAGAGAAAGGTGGGGTTACCCACAAAGGGAAGCCCATCAGACTAACAGCTGATCTCTTGGCAGAAACTCTACAAGCCAGAAGAGAGTGGGGGCCAATATTCAACATTCTTAAAGAAAAGAATTTTCAATACAGAATTTCATATCCAGCCAAACTAAGCTTCATAAGTGAAGGAGAAATAAAATACTTTACAGACAAGCAAATGCTGAGAGATTTTGTCACCACCAGGCCTGCCCTAAAAGAGCTCCTGAAGGAAGCACTAAACATGGAAAGGAACAACTGGTACCAGCCACTGCAAAAACATGCCAAATTGTAAAGACCATCAAGGCTAGGAAGAAACTGCATCAACTAACAAGCAAAATAACCAGCTAACATCATAATGACAGGATCAAATTCACACATAACAATACTAACCTTAAATGTAAATGGGCTAAATGCTCCAATTAAAAGGCACAGACTGGCAAATTGGATATAGAGTCAAGACCCATCAGTGTGCTGTATTCAGGAAACCCATCTCACGTGCAGAGACACACATAGGCTCAAAATAAAGGGATGGAGGAAGATCTACCAGGCAAATGGAAAACAAAAAAGGCAGGGGTTGCAATCCTAGTCTTGGATAAAACAGACTTTAAACCAACACAGTTCAAAAGAGAAAAGAAGGCCATTACATAATGGTAAAGGGATCAATTCAACAAGGAGAACTACTAACTATCCTAAATATATATGCACCCAATACAGGAGCACCCAGATTCATAAAGCAAGTCCTTAGTGACCTACAAAGAGACTTAGACTCCCACACAATAATAATGGGAGACTTTAACACCCCACTGTCAACATTAGACAGATCAACGAGACAGAAAGTTAACAAGGATATCCAGGAATTGAACTCAGCTCTGCACCAAGTGGACCTAATAGACATCTACAGAACTCTCCACCCAAAATCAACAGAATAGACATTTTTTTCAGCACCACACCACACCTATTCCAAAATTGACCACATAGTTGGATGTAAAGCACTCCTCAGCAAATGTAAAAGAACAGAAATTATAACAAACTGTCTCTCAGACCACAGTGCAATCAAACTAGAACTCAGGATTAAGAAACTCACTCAAAGGCGCTCAACTACATGGAAACTGAACAACCTGCTCCTGAATGACTACTGGGTACATAACGAAATGAAGGCAGAAATAAAGACGTTCTTTGAAACAAACGAGAACAAAGACACAACATACCAGAATCTGTGGGACACATTCAAAGCAGTGTGTAGAGGAATGGCCATACTGCCCAAGGTAATTTACAGATTCAATGCCATCCCCATCAAGCTATCAATGACTTTCTTCACAGAATCGGAAAAAACTACTTTAAAGTTCATAAGGAACCAAAAAAGAGCCCATATTGCCAAGTCAATCCTAAGCCAAAAGAACAAAGCTGGAGGCATCACACTACCTGACTTCAAACTATACTACCAGTATAGCACTAAATGCCCACAAGAGAAAGCAGGAAAGGTCTAAAATTGACATCCTAACATCAGAATTAAAAGAACTAAAGAAACAAGAGAAAACACATTCAAAAGCTAGCAGAAGGCAAGAAATAACTAAGATCAGAGCGGAACTGAAGGAAATAGAGACACAAAAAACCCTTCAAAAAATCAATGAATCCAGGACTGGTTTTTTGAAAAGATCAACAAAATTGATAGACCACTAGCAAGCCTAATAAAGAAGAAAAGAGAGAAGAATCAAATAGATGCAATAAGAAATGACAAAGGGGATATCACCACCGATCCCACAGAAATACAAACTACCATCAGAGAATGCTATAAACACCTCTACACAAATAAACTAGAAAATCTAGAAGAAATGGATAAATTCCTCGACACGTACACTCTCCCAAGTCTAAACCAGGAAGAAGTTGAATCTCTGAATAGACCAATAACAGGCTCTGAAATTGAGGCAATAATTAATAGCTTACCAACCAGAAAAAGTCCAGAACCAGATGGATTCACAGCCGAATTCTACCAGAGGTACAATGAGGAGCTGGTACCATTCCTTCTGAAATTATTCCAATCAACAGAAAAAGAGGGAATCCTCCCTAACTCATTTTATGAGGCCAGCATCATCCTGACACCAAAGCCTGGCAGAGACATAACAAAAAAAGGGAATTTTAGACCAATATCCTTGATGAACATTGATGCAAAAATCCTCAATAAAATACTGACAAACCGAATCCAGCAACACATCAAAAAGCTTATCCACCATGATCAAGTGGGCTTCATCCCTGGGATGCAAGGCTGGTTCAACGTACAAAAATCAATAAACATAATCCAGCATATAAACAGAACCAAAGACAAAAACCACATGATTATCTCAATAGATGCAGAAAAGGCCTTTGACAAAATTCAACAACCCTTCATGCTAAAAACTCTCAACCAATTAGGTATTGATGGGACATATCTCAAAATAATAAGAGCTATCTGTGACAAACCCACAGCCAATATCATACTGAATGGACAAAAACTGGAAGCATTCCTTTTCAAAACGGGCATAAGACAGGGATGCCCTCTCTCACCACTCCTATTCAACATAGTGTTGGAAGTTCTGGCCAGGGCAATCAGGCAGAAGAAGGGAATAAAGGGCATTCAATTAGGAAAAGAGGAAGTCAAATTGTCCCTGTTTGCAGATGACATGATTGTATGTCTAGAAAACCCCAAAGTCTCAGCCCAAAATCTCCTTAAACTGATAAGCAACTTCAGCAAAGTCTCAGGATACAAAATCAATGTGCAAAAATCACAAGCATTCTTTTACACCAATAACAGACAAACAGAGAGCCAAATCATGAGTGAACTCCCATTCACAATTGCTTCAAAGAGAATAAAATACCTAGGAATCCAACTTACAAGGGATGTGAAGGACCTCTTCAAGGAGAACTACAAACCACTGCTCAAGGAAATAAAAGAGGATACAAACAAATGGAAGAACATTCCATGCTCATGGGTAGGAAGAATCAATATCGTGAAAATGGCCATACTGCCCAAGGTAATTTATAGATTCAATGCCATCCCCATCAAGCTACCAATGACTTTCTTCACAGAATTGGAAAAAACTACTTTAAAGTTCATATGGAACCAAAAAAGAGCCCATATTGCCAAGTCAATTCTAAGCCAAAAGAACAAAGCTGGAGGAATCACGCTACCTGACTTCAAACTATACTACCAGGCTACAGTAACCAAAACAGCACGGTACTGGTACCAAAACAGATATATAGACCAATGGAACAGAACAGAGCCCTCAGAAATAATGCCGCTTATCTACAACTATCTGATTTTTGAGAAACCTGAGAAAAACAAGCCATGGGGAAAGGATTCCCTATTTAATAAATGGTGCTGGGAAAACTGGCTAGCCATATGTAGAAAGCTGAAACTGGATCCTTTCCTTACACCTTATACAAAAAAATAATTCAAGATGGATTAAAGACTTAAATGTTAGACCAAAACCATAAAAACCCCAGAAGAAAACCTAGGCAATACCATTCAGGACATAGGCATGGGCAAGGACTTCATGTCGAAAACACCAAAAGCAATGGCAACAAAAGCCAAAATTGACAAATGGGATCTAATTAAACTAAAGAGCTTCTGCACAGCAAAAGAAACCACTATCAGAGTGAACAGGCAACCTACAGAATGGGAGAACATTTTTGCAACCTACTCATCTGACAAAGGGCTAATATCAAGAACCTACAATGAACTCAAACAAATTTATAAGAAAAAAACAAACAACCCCATCAAAAAGTGGGCAAAGGATGTGAACAGGCACTTCTCAAAAGAAGACATTTATGCAGCCAAAAAACACATGAAAAATTGCTCATCATCACTGGCCATCAGAGAAATGCAAATATAAACCACAATGAGATACCATCTCACACCAGTTAGAATGGCGATCATTAAAAACTTCAGGAAACAACAGGTGCTGGAGAGGATGTGGAGAAATAGGAACACTTTTACACTGTTGGTGGGACTGTAAACTAGTTCAACCATTGTGAAAGTCAGTGTGGCGATTCCTCAGGGATCTAGAACTAGAAATACCATTTGACCCAGCCATCCCATTACTGGGTATATACCCAAACGATTATAAATCATGCTGCTATAAAGACACATGCACACGTATGTTTATAGCAGCACTATTCACAATAGCAAAGACTTGGAACCAACCCAAATGTCCAACAAAGATAGACTGGATTAAGAAAATGTGACACATATACACCACGGAGTACTACGCAGCCATAAAAAATGATGAGCTCATGTCCTTTGTAGGGACATGGATGAAGCTGGAAACCATCATTCTCAGCAAACTATCACAAGGACAGAAAACCAAACACCACATGTTCTCACTCACAGGTGGGAATTGAACAATGAGAACACTTGGACACAGGAAGGGGAACATCACACACCGGGGACTGTTGTGGGGTTGGGGGAGCGGGGAGGGATAGCATTAGGAGATATACCTAATGCTAAATGACGAGTTACTGGGTGCAGCACACAAACATGGCACATGTATACATGTGTAACAAACCTGCACATTGTGCACATGTACCCTAAAACTTAAAGTATAATAATAAAAAAAACTGTAAATTTTAAAATGTAAAATCTTTTCCAAAAATTTAAATTTTACTCTGAGATGAGCTCTCAACACTGGTCATCTGCAGACATCCTCTGACCCTGCTGAGGGAAGTGTTATGCCTGTGATGTTTTCCTCCCTGGAGAACTATTGGAAAACCCCTACTTTGTCAGTTAGTAGACCTAGGTCTTAGTCTAATCTCAGTCCCAATTTAGCCATGTGACTATGAATGAATTACTTAATGTGTCTGGGACTCAGTTTCTTTATCTAGAATTTAATTGATTGAGAACATATTTATTGAGCCTTTGTATGACTCTCATTGAGCTCTTACTATGTACCAGAATATTCTAAGTGCTTGATATATGTATTTTTTGATTTCCAAAACACTGTGAGTTATGAGCTGTTATTATCATTTCAAATTTACAGATGAGGAAACTGATGTCCAGAAAGATTAAGTCACTTGCCCAAACTCACACAGCTAGTAGAAGTGCTACAACTAAGACTTGAACCTAAGAAGTTCAGCTCCAGCATTTGTTCAGTTAACCATCTCATTACATGTCAGTTAGGGTGGGTACAGCTGCAAAAAATGGGAAACTCAGCCAGAAGAAAGTTTACAATTAGAACATTTATTATCTTACAAGATTGAGATTCCAAAGGCTGGTGGTACCAGGGTTGACTTAACTGTTCCATGATATATCATCAAGGACCTGGACTATTCCCTGTCTTCCACTCTGCTTCCCTCAGCATGTTGGCTTTTGTCTCCCAAGCTTGACTCTTTCTGTTCAAAGGATAGCTGGTGTAACTGTAGGCACCACAAACTATTTTTATTGGGGAGGAAATCTTCCCCAGAAGCCTCCAAGAGACTGGTCAAAACTGGGTTATATGTCCATCGTTAAGCCAGTCACTAACAAAGAAGAATGAGATTATAATTTTGCTTACACCATTTAGGGTTAACCCTTGGGTCTTGGGCAGTGCCTGTCTTTATTGAGCACTTTTTCTCTGTGAGGATTTTATGAGTAAGAAGGGGTGGGATGCTTGGCTATTGGGTAGGGATAGGACAGTGACTGCCACTGTGGTTAAAAGCCAATTCCCATGTTCATTGGATTTACTATCTTCTCTCTTAGCTTCTTTCACCTCCTGGATCCAACAGTCACCAAGTCCTAATCAGACTATCCTCCAGATTTGCAAACATAGTATAGTTCTTCATTCACTAAAACATGAAGTCTAATCTTAAGAGAACACAGAAGGCCTGTCCTGCCTGGGTCTGCAATCCCTTTACCTTTCTAGTAACAACAGTTTCGCCCCACCATGGTATATATAGCCAAAGTGGAGGAGAATTGCTTGCAGTTCCCTATGCACACAGAGACGCTGTATGTTCGCGTCTTCATTTCATACTGTTCCTTCTGCCTTGACTACCCTTCCTCTTTTGCCTCCCTGGGGAACTGCTACCTAATGGTATCATGTACAATTTAGTGAGAGATAGAGACTTTGGGAACAGGACAATCCATGTGCAAAACAATTTTTTATCATCTGAGAGATAGGGTGGGGAAGTGGATCCAAAAGGAGGTTTTATAGTAGTCCCCTCCTCATCTGCAGTTTTGCTTTCCAAGGTTTCGGTTACATACCATCAACCATCAATCCAAAAATATTGAATGGAAAATTCCAGAAACAACCAATTCGTTAAGTTTTCAATTGTGTGCTGTTCAGAGTAGCATGATGAAATCTGTCCTGCTCCACCTTTCCTATAACATAAATCATGCCTTTGTTCAGTGAATCCATGCTGTAGATGCTGCCTATCCATTAGTCACTTAGTAGCCTGACTTGATTATCAGATGGACTTTTGCAGTATTGCAGTGTTTGTTTTCAAGTCACCTTTATTTTGCTCCATAGTGGCCTGAAAGCACAAGGGTAATGACCCTGGCAATTCAGCTTTGCCAAAGGGAAGCCATTAAGTGTTTCCTATAAGTGAAAAAGTGAAAGTTCTTGACTTAAGGAAAGAAAAAAAATTGTATGCTAAGGTTGCTAAGATCTACAGCAAGAATGAATCTCTTATCCATAAAAAATTGTGAAGAAGGAAAAAAGAAATTTATTCCAGCTTTGTTATCACATCTCAAACTGCAAAAGTTACAGTTATGGTGTGTGAGAAGTATTTAGTTAATATAGAAAAGGCATTAAATTTGTGGGTGGAAGATATGAACAGAAATGTGTTCTGATTGACGGCAACGTGTTGTGCTAGAAAGCACTGGGCCTGTGTGAAGACTTAAGCAAGGGATCCCCTGAAATGAGTGACACCAAGCCATCTGCTGCAATTAAGAGATGGTTACACAGATTCGGTAATACAGAAGGCCAACTGGAGCCTCACGCTACATCACAATGCCTACCTCATTCACCTCACATCATCTCATCACATCGGCATTGTATCAGCTCACATCATCACAAGAAGAAGGGTGGTACAGTACAGTAAGATATTTTGAGAGACAGACCACATTCACATAATGTTTTTTCACAATATGTTGTTAGAATTGTTCTATTTTATTATTGTGTTGTTAATCTCTAACTATACCTTATTTAAAAATTAAAATTTATCATAGGTGTATATGTATAGGAGAAAACATAGTATATACATCCAAAGTTTCAGGCACCCACTGGAGGCCTTGGAATGTATCCCTTAAGGATAAGGGGGACTATTGTGTATGAAGAAGAATTTGCTGAATTAAAACTGACAAGTAGGAGGAAAGTGTGAAACTTGGTTGTCTTGGAGAATGGTGAGGCCAAATAACCAAATAGAGAGTGGACATGGAGGAAGGTCAGTTCTACTACGCATGTCTTGTAACTGAAGTAATCGTGGGACCACTAGGAGGAAATTGTCCAACAAGAGCTGAATGAGAGAATGTGAAGCTCAGAAGATAAGTTTGACCTAATGATTTAGAAGTCATACGATATGGTTTGGCTGTGTCCCCACCCAAATCTCATCTTGAATTCTAGCTCCCATAATTCCCACGTGTCATGGGAGGAACCCAGTAGGACGTAATTGAATCATGGGGTTGGGTCTTTCCCATGCTATTCTCATGATAGTAAATAAATCTCATGAGATCTGATGGTTTTATAAATGGGAGTTCTCCTGCATAAGCCCTCTTGCCTGCCGCCATTTAAGATGTGACTTGCTCCCTCTTGCCTTCCGCCATGATTGTGAGGCCTCCCCAGCCATGTAGAACTGTGAGTCAGTTAAACCTCTTTCTTTTATAATTACCCAGTCTTGGGTATGTCTTTATTAGCAGTGTGAGAACAGACTAATACATCATAGTATAGATATGATAGATGGAGCCATTTTTCTGATTTTCTTCTCTTTACAGAGAGGATGACGAAAGTGGGCATGTGTGAGTTCATGGAACTAGGCCAGGACATAGAAACAGCCCTTAGCAGAAGCAGTGGAACATGAGTCATTGGACCAGAATGGAAGCTAAGATTAGAGAATAGCAAGGCCTGGTGGAAGAGTTAAGTCTAAAGTAGTTTATAAAAGTTGAGAAGATAATAGGTTATTGGATGTGAGATAAAAGTGAAAAAAAATTCAAGAAGGGTCTGAAATGAGTATTGAAAGATGAAGTGTGAAGTTAAATAAAAATTGGAGGGCTAAGAAATTGAAATAAAGGAAAAAGAGTTTATAACATCAGGCAGAGGTAGTCTGAGTGACGCTGGCTTGAAGACATGGCTGGCGCCCACTGTATAGCTTTGCCATTCTTGTTTGTGGGTGGATGGGTCAGGATTATTTCGAGGAGCAGAACTCATTTGGATGCACAAGCAGGAACAATTTGGAAGTTACTCCTCAAAAGTTGATAGGATAAAAAGAGAAAAAGAAAGAATACAAAAACCTGATGAACAACACACTTACAAGGTAGGCAAAAGAAGAAAAACCACAAAATATCCTAAAACAGGTCAATCACCACGAAAGAGAAAAAAGGTGGAGGGAAAGAATAAGATAGTATCTATGATCTCCTCTGGCTCTGATATTGTATGATTCTTACCTAGAAAGAGTTCAGAAAAAAAAGATTTAATTCATCTAATCCACTTATTAATTTATGGTTATCAGTAGTGGATTTGGGGAGAGCAGGCATAGAGACATAGTACTCCCTTTTGAAACCAAGAAAGAAATACCATCCGTAATTCTGAGCTTTTATGTAAAACAAAAATATCCTCAAATTTAGTATTTCTTCCCTGCTTCTCCAATGAGGGATAGCATGACTGCTTGTTCTCCAGTGATAGTAAATAAAATGCTGGAATTCAGGGACTCCAGTTAGCAGCTCTGACTGCTTGTCTGCTTCTTCTGTAGGAAGGGAATTGGTGACATCTGTCTCAGTGAGCATCTGGTGACAGCCCAAGAACACACAGGCACTGAGAGGGACCACATCCTTCTGAATCCCTTTGGATTGAAGAGCTTGCCTCTGAAGGCCTTGGGAGTCAGAATCAGCTTGGAAGATTTTTATGAGGTAAAATGGCAGGCAAGTTTGGATGAATTAAAAGAAAGAGAATTTCACATGCCATGAAAACTTTTCTTTAAAATAACATATGATTTCATCATATGACATACCGTTGCATCCTGGTTTGATTCACAAACTTTGAAGAATAAGCTAACAGAGGGAGTGGCATAAATTTCTGGAAAAAGCTTCCCTGATTCCTCTCTGGCAGGGCTGCCTTACGACTTAGGCGGACCCCAGAAACATCTGCCTTCATGGGCCCCTTCTGCCATTAAAAAAAATACAAAAATTATTCTTTACAGCTGTGTTAGTATAAAGGCAAATCTAATACAGGCTGGGTTGATTACTACATATTCATTATTATTAGTGTCATTGTTTTTCTTCTGTGAGAGAAATAACAAAAGATGTTTGTGGATGCCTAAAAGTATTGGTGCTGGCCTGCTGTGCCTGTTTGGCCCCTGGGTGCCAGCCCGGTTGCTAGGAACACCTTTCTGCTTTTCCTGACCATGCTTGAGTCCCACTGCCAGACCCTGTTTCTCCATGGAGCCCTGCCTGACTGATCCTGCCTGTGGGAACGCCTTCAGTATTTATTGTCTGTCTGATTCATTATGCAATTAGTGTAGTCTGTGATCTATTAGCATTTATCTTTTATGTATGAGTCCTTTTATCCCAAATAAATTTTAAGTTGTTTGAGCCCAGGGACCATGGCTTATACCCCTTCTTCTCCTTGGTATTTACCACATTCAGTGATAGCTGCCATTTATTGAGCACATGCCATGTGCCAGGCACAGTTCTGCTTACACATGGAATTATTCTCACTTTCCAGAAAAAATGCAGCAAATGGAAGAAAAGAAGCTTGCTCCAGGTCTCCCATCCAGACCCAGAATGTCAATCTAAGTTTCTCTGGTTCTGAAGTCAACCATTTGTCTACTCAATAATCTCCACATGTGGGTTGTGGTGATGATGACAAAGATGAATGGGGGTGGGGAGAAGGGAAATAATATGAATCAGTGTAAAATCTCAACAGGTACTTAAATTCTGTATAGTAAAGCAAATTTAAAGTGCAACTTGTTCAGCTCTAACAATTTTTTTCATAACTTACTTAAAATCTTTATTCTAAGTGTTTTTGATAAGAGGTATTCATTTACCACAGTGACAACAATGGGATAAGTCACTTGTCTTTGCCATAAGGAAATCCCTCACTTCAATATCTTGAAGTGCACATTTCAATATCTTGTCTCCTTCCTTTATTTTTTAAAAAGAGAGACTAGAAATAAAAGTAATTTCTTCCCAAGGACAATATGATCAGGTACTAATTCTTCCTTTAATACGTCATAATCGCACCCCATGTTTCAATGAATGTTGGGTGATGTCAGAGTTAAACCCAAAACATCTATTCAAGTAATTCCAAATTTGAAGCAATCAAACATCAGTATGTTCATATCTTATCTGCTTTCATTATAATTCATGGAGAGGCCTATGATCTTGCCATTTTGTCATGATGCCATATAGTAGCCAATGAATACTAAATTGTATGCTTCTTAGCTATTTTTCTACCACAGTTTCAAGTGGTAACAGATTTCACCCATGTGCTGCAGTTTGTCCATTTAAAATCTTACCTGCCTAGAATGTGTGAAATCACAGAAACCCAGAAAAGAACACTATTTTTACATACGCGAAGTTTGGTGTCATAGAAAGAGGATCCAAGTACATTTGGCCTTGGATCCTTCCTCTACCACTTAACGCTGTTGTGGCCTCAGGAGTGTCACTTGATTCCTTTTGTTCATAAATAAAGTAGTGATAAAAGTGTTTACCTTTACATGTTAATTGTAAGGCTAGGAGATTTGCTATGGAAAATACTTTGCCCAGTCTTTAGCATGTAGTAGGTGCTTACTAAATGCTAGTTCATTAATATCATTGCTATTATCATTACCGTCTCTGAATGGTGCCAAAGGACTAGTTAGAAAAGTTAAGATAAAAACAGCTCTTGAATTTATTCACTTGGGCCTTGATATAGACTGGGCCTTTTATGTTGCCAAAATAGCCAGGGAAATATAAGTGTAAAGTCACATTAAAATGTTTCATGCAGGGAAAAATAAGTGGTCTCCTAACTTGATTTTGCTCATTTATTTTTCCAGCAAGCATTAAACCATAATCAGGCCCTTACAACTGGAAACATCACATAGCAATTAGAGTTTCACATGTCACAACTGAGGTCTTTGGGGAAAGAGATGCTACTGACATACCAGCCCATTCTGTCCTTTGCAACCTAATGTCCCCGTTGTTACAACCAGCATTTTGTAATACACTTTTACTATCCTGAAATGAAACTCATAGATAAAATAACCTGTCTTCTCATTGGGTTTTTAAAAAAAATGCCCTAAGTATCTATCATTAGAGGAAAAATAAAAGGAAAGTAATATACAATTTAAAATAATCTAAAATGCTATGGCACAGCTACATTGGGGAACTTAATAAAGTTGTCAGACACTTTTGCTTAAAAATAATATCACCTTGACTGCAATATCTACAAATACAGATTGACACAGATGGCTGAACTGGCAACTCAGACACCAAGAGCTATATTGCATCTTTGATGCTATTTTCTAGAATGGTGAATGACTCTTGATAAGTTCCAAACACAGCAAAGCATGATCTTTCCTTAATTTATGTAATTGTGTCCCTGGAAAATTTAGTGTATATTAAAACTGTGCAAAAATATTTTGTGTTATATGTATATATGGAGTTAGGCTCTATGCCAAGACAGTTACAAAGAGGTTTTTCATTGACAAAAATGCCTGGAGGGACATCCCTAACTTGTCCAAACTTGAACTTGGGACAATTTTTCATTGTGTGCAATTGTCTTGCCCATTGCAGAACATCTAGCTCAGTGGCCCTTTATCATTTTAAGGCTAATAGTGCTTACTAATTACTGGGACCAAGAAAATTCCACAAAAATTTTTCAAAACATCCCCTAAGGATGTCCTGCTCCTGTTGAGACTACCGCTATAGTCATACTAAGCACTTGCAATTCTCTCAACAGCCAGCCTTTGCTTATTCTTTTTTTCTCTGTAGGATATGCTCTTCCTCTACTTGGCCTTGCTATTAATGACTTAACCCTAAAGACCCACATCAGGTATCTCTAGTCTAGGAAGTCATCTGTAAAGCTCCAGTTGCCTTCCCTTTGTGTTCTCATAAGACCCTCTGCTTAAGGAATTTCGACTTTGATTGTACAGTATTATTTGTTTTCCTACATCATCTAAGAGCTCCTGAAGGCAGAATAAATCAGTCAATTTATTTTTCTTTATCTTTATTTACTTATTTTTACCTATTTAAATTTAAATTTATTGGTTTCAGCCTGCTAGCTTTGAAGAATACAAGAAGTTCGAGCAAGGAGAGGTTCCCTGCAGCACAGCACAGCTGCCTTGCCAGATCATGGCCAGACTGCTTCTTTAAGCGGTACCTCAATCTATTCCTCTTCACTGGGCAAGTCCTCCCTGCAGGGGCTTCAGCCACACAAGCAAGGGTTCTACAGACAAAGTTCTGATCTCTCCCTGGAATGAAGCTCACAGGGGAAGAGCAGCTGTCATCTCTGCAGTTTGGTAAACTCAGCCATTCCAGCCTGCCAACTTTGGAAAATACAAATGGTCCAGGCAAGGAAGGGTCTCCTGGCACCTACTCTACCAAAGGGCAGCCAGAGGGCTTCTTGGGGTGGGTCCCTGATCCCATTCCTCCCGAGTGGGTGGGACCTCCCAGCAGGGGTCTCCAGCCACCTCCTACAGGCATGTTCCTTCTGGCAACAGGTCAGTGCATCCCTGGGATGGAGCTTCCAGAGGAAGGAGCAGGCTGCCATCTTTGCTGTTTTGCAGGCTTCACTGACGATACCTCCAGGTACAGGGAAAAACTGAAGCAACTAAGGTCTGGAGTGGACCCCCAGTAAACTGCAGCAGTCCTATGGAAGAATAGCATAACTGTTAAAAGAAAAACAAACAGAAAACAACAACAACATCAACAAAAAAGACCCCACAAAAACCCCAAAGGACAGCAAACCTCAAAGATCAAAGGTAGATAAGCCCACAAAAATAAGAAAGAATCAATGCAGAAATCCTGAAAACTCAAAAAGCCAGAGTGCCTCTTCTCCAAATGACAGCAACATCTCTCCAGTAAGGGCACAGAACTGAGCTAAGGCCGAGATGGCTGAACTGACAGAAGTAGGCTTTGAAAGGTGGGTAATGATGAACTTAGCTGAGCTAAAGGAGCATGTTGTAACCCAATGCAAAGAAACCAAAAATCATGATAAAACAATACAGGAGCTGATAGCCAGAATAGCCAGGTTAGAGAAGAACATAACCAACCTGATGGTGCTGAAAAACACAGCAAAAGAACTTCACAATGGAATCACAGGTATCAATAGCAGAAGAGGCCAAGCAGAGGAAAGAATCTCAGAGCTTGAAGACTATCTTTCTGAAATAAGACAGGCAGATAAGAATAGAGAAAAAAGAATGAAAAGGAATGAACAAAACCTATGAGAAATATGGGATTATGTAAAAAGACCAAACATACTACTGATTGGGATATCTGAAAGAGATGGGGAGATAGAACCAAGTTGGAAAACATACTTCAGGATATCATCTAGGAGAACTTCCCCAACCTAACAAGATAGGCCAACATTCAAATTGAGGAAATGCAGAGAACCCCAGTAAGATACTCCATGAGAAGATCAACCCCAAGACACAACATAATAAGATTCTCCAAGGTCAAAATGAAAGAAAAAATGTTAAGGGCAGCCAGAGAGAAAGGCCAGGTCACCTACAAAGGGAAACCCATCAAACTAACAGAAAACCTCTCAGTGGAAACCCTACAAGCCAGAAGAGACTGTGGCCAATCTTCAGTTTTGTTGTTTTTTTTAAGACAGAGGCTTGCTGTATTGCCCAGGCTGGAGTGCAGTGGCATGATTTCGGTTCACTGCCACCTCCACCTCCCAGGTTTAAGTAATTCTCCTGCTTCAGAGATCCATCATGTGCAAAGACACACATAAGCTCAAAATAAAGGGATGGAGGAAAATTTACCAAGCAAATGGAAAACAGAAAAAAGCAGGGGTTGCAATCCTAGTTTCTGAGAAGACAGACTTTAAACCAATAAAGATTTAAAAAGACAAAGAAGGACATTACATAATGGTAAAGGGTCAATTCAACAAGAAGAGCTAAGTATCCTAAATATATATGTACCCAATACAGGAGCACCTAGATTCATAAAGCATGTTTTCTTAGAGACCTACGAAGAGACATTAGGCATTAGACTACCACACAATAATAATGGGACACCCCACTGTGAGAAAATAGACAGAAAATTAATAAAGATATTCAGGACCTGAACGCAGTTCTGGATCAAGAGGACCTCACAGATATCTACAGAACTCTCCATCCCAAAACAACAGAATATACATTCTTCTCATTGCCACATGGCACTAAGTCTAAAATTGATCACATTGGAAGTAAAACAGTCCTCAGCAAATGCAAAAGAACTGAAATCATAACAGTCTCTCAGACCGATGCAATCAAATTAGAACTCAAGATTAAGAAATTCATTCAAAACCACACAACTACATGGAAATTGAACAACCTGCTCCTGAATGACTCTTGGGCAAATAATGAAATTAAAGCAGAAATCAGTAAGTTCTTTGAAACTAATAAGAACAGACAATGTACCAGAATCTCTGGGATGCTGCTAAAGCAGTGTAAAGAGGGAAACTTATAGCACTAAATGCCCACATCAAAAAGCTAGAAAGATTTCAACTTAACAGCTTAACATTTCAACTAAAATAACTAGAGAGCTAAGAGCAAACAAAACCCAAAACTAGCAGAAGACGAGAAATAACCAAGATCAGAGCTGAACTGAAGGAGATAAAGATGTGAAAAACCCTTCAAAAAATCAACAAATCCAGGAGCTGGTTTTTTGAAAAAAATTAATAAAATAGGCTGGGTGTGGTGGCTCACACCTGTAATCCCAGCACTTTGGGAGGCAGAGGCAGGCTGATCACCTGAGTTCAGGAGTTTGAGACCATCCTGGCCAAAGTGGTGAAATCCCGTCTCTACTAAAAATACAAAAATTAGATGGATGTAGTGGTGGGTGCCTGTAATCCAAGCTACTCGGGAGGCTGAGGCAGGAGGATCACTTGAACCAGGGAGGTGGAAGTTGCAGTGAGCCAAGATTGTGCCATTGCACTCCAGCCTGGGTGACAAGAGCAAAACTCCATCAAAAAAAAAAAAAAAAAGACTGCTAGCTAGATTAATAAAAAAGAAAAGAGAGAAAAATCAAATAAACACAATCAGAAATGATAAGGGGGATATCACTGCTGACTCCACAAAAGGGGGATATCACTGCTGACTCCACAAAAATACATACAACCCTCAGAGAATACTATAAACCCCTCTATGCACATAAACTAGAAAATCTAGAAGAAATGCAGAGATTTCTGAACACATACACCCTCTCAAGACCAAACCACAGAGAAATTGAATTGCGAATAGACCAATAACAAGTTCTGAAATTGAGGCAGTAATAAATAGCCTACCAATCAAAAAAATGCCAGGACCAAATGGATTCACAGCCAAATTCTACCAGAGGTACAAAGAAGAGCTGGTACCATTTCTACTGAAACCCTTCCAGAAAATCGAAAAGGAGGGACTCCTTTCTAACTCATTCTTTGAGGCCAGCATTATCCTTTTACTAAAACCTGGCAGAAATACAACAAAAAAAGAAAACTTCAAGCCAATATTCTTGAACATCAATGCCAAAAATTCTTAATAAAATACTGGCAAACCAAATCCAACAGCACATCAAAAAGCTTATCTACCACAACCAAGTAGGCTTTATCCATGGGATGCAAGGTTGGTTCAACATACACAAATCAATAAATGTGATTCCATCACATTAGCAGAACTAAAGACAAAAACTACATGATTATCTCAATAGATGCAGAAAAGGCCTTTTGTAAAATTCCACATCTTTTCATATTAAAGACTCTAAATAAAGTAGGCATTGAAGAAACATACCTCAAAATAATAAAAGCCATATATGACAACCCCATAGCCAATATTATACTGAATGGGCAAAAGCTGGAAGTATTCTTTTTCAAAACTTGCACAAGACAAGGATGCCCTCTCTCACCACTGTTATTCAACGTAGTATTGGAATTTCTGACCAGGGCAATCAGGCAAGAGAAAGAAATAAAGAGTATTCAAATAGGAAGAGAGGAAGTCAAATTGCCTTTGTTTGCAGCTGACATAACCCTATATCTAGAAACCCTCATCATCTCAGCCCCAAAGCTTCTTAAGTTGATAAGCAACTTCAACAAATTCTCAAGATACAAAATCAATGTGCAAAAATTGTTAGCATTCCTATACACCAACAACAGACAAGCAGAGAGCGGAATCATAAATGAACTCCCATTCACAATTGCTGCAAAAAGAATAAAGTACCTAGGAATACAGCTAACAAGGGAAGCGAAGGACCTCTTCAAGGAGAACTACAAAACATTGTTCAAAGAAATCAGAGAGGACACAAACAAATGGAAAAACATTCCAGGCTCACGGATAGGAAGAATAAATATTGTTAAAATTTCCATACTGCTCTAAGTAATTCGTATATTCAATGCTATTCCTATTAAATTACCATTGACATTCTTCACAGAATTAGAAAAAAACTATTTTAAAATTCATATGGAATAAGTAAAGAGCCTGAATAGCCATGACAAGCCTAAGCAAAAAGAACAAAACTGGAGGCATCATGATACCCAACTTCAAACTATACTGCAAGTCTACGGTAACCAAAACAGCATGGTATGGGTACAAAAAGAGCATAGACCAATGTAACAGAATACAGAACTCAGAAAGAAGACCACACATCTACAACCATCTGATCTGCAACAAACCTGACAAAAACAAGCAATGGGAAAAAGATTCCCTGTTTAATAAATGGTGCTGGGAGAACTGGCTGGCCATATGCAGAAAATTGAAACTGGACCAATTGCTTACACCATATACAAAAATTAACTCAAGATGAATTAAACACTTAAATGTAAAACTCAAAACTATAAGAACCCTAGAAGAAAATCTAGGTAATACCATTCAAGACATAGGCACAGCCAAAGATTTCATGATGAAGATGCCAAAAGCAATTGCAACAAAAGCAAAAATTGACAAATGTGATCTAATTAAACTAAAGAGCTTCTGCACAGCAAAAGAAACAACCATCAGAGTGAACAGACAACCTACAGAATGGGAGAAAATTTTTGTCGTCTATCTATCTCACAAAGGTCTAATATCCAGAGTCCACAAGGAACTTACAAGAATTACAAGAATTTACAAGAAAAAACAACCAACCTCATTAAAAAGTAGGTAAAGGACATTGACAGACACTTCTCAAAAGAAGACATACATGCGGCCAACAAACATGAAAAAAAGCTCAACATCACTAATCACTAGAGAAATGCAAATCAAAACCACAAGAAGATACCATCTCACGCCAGTCAGAATGGGTATTATTAAAAACTCAAAAAACAACAGATGCTGGTGAGGTTGTGGTGAAAAAGGAACACTTTTACACTGTTGGTGTGAGTGTAAATTGGTTCAATCATTGTGGAAGACAGTGTGGTAATTCATCAAAGACCTAGAGGCAGAAATACCATTTGACCCAGCAATCCCATTACTACGTATATATCCAAAGGAATATAAATCATTTTATTATAAAGACACATACACATATGTGTTCACTGCAGCACTGTTTACAATAGCAAAGACATGGAATCGACCCAAATGTCCACCAATAATAGACTGGGTAAAGAAAATGTGGTACATATGTATCATGGAATACTATGCAGCCATAAAAGAATAAGATCATGTCCTTTGTGGGGACATGGATAAAGTTGGACGTCACTATCCTTAGGAACAGAAAAACAAACACCACATGTTGTCCCCTGTAAGTGGGAGCTGAATGATGAGAACACATGGACACATTGCAGAGCAGCAACACACACTGGAACCCGTTTTTTGAGGGCGCAGTGGAGGGAGGGAGAGCATCAGGAAGAATAGCTAATGGATGCTGGGCTTAATATCTAGGTGATGGGATGATCTGTGCAGCAAACTACCATGGCACACATTAACCTATGTAACAAACCTCCACATCTGGCACATGTACCCATGAACTTAAAAATAAACGTTGAAGAAAAAAAATTTAAATGTACCTCTTTATCGTTAGTGTCTGGCTCATGACTGTCACATAAGAAAGATAGATGGATGGGATGGATATTTGAAAAAATCAATAAATGACAATTTTTATCCCAAATATTAATTAAGTAGCTACTTTAAAATATACAATGTGACTGGCTCTCAGAGAGATAACTCAAAAGTGGATTCTGTTATCAAGATGTTGGTAGTTAAGGAGGGGACTTAGATCACTCATGGCCATTTTCAAAAAACAAGTATAAACCATAGCATGTTAATTAGATATGGGTTGAAAGTAATCTACATGGTGCCATGTATTTTATTTAGAATTGGTGGAGAAAAACGCCTTTGTAAAGCTTCGAGTTTAGGAATCATTAATGTTATTTCAGGTGGATTAGGTAGGTTATTCTGATATGGAGCAGAACAACACAGGACTGTTTTTAAAGAGAAGTTTTCATACTTGGAGTATTTTAAAGTACTTTAAAGTGCTTTACAAAGTAATGAGTTAAACATTGGTAGTGAGAAACTATGTATGCTAATGGAGAAACCCATTGTGCTCTTGACAGTAGCTCAAACGGGACTGTGGAAATTAGAAGCAGTTTTATTGATATTGGCCAGGATTTGGGATTAATCCTTGCTCCTTTTGAAAATTGCCATGGGATCTTTAAATTGCACTTGGATGGCCGCCGTGTTTAATAAGATTGTTTTCTAGACCTGAAACTCAACCAAAAAGTTTGTGCACAGACTTTCTACAAATAAAGCATATTTGGAGGTAGCAATTTTTTTCTATAATGAATTTCGATAATGATAGATTTTTATAGAAGCAGCAGCAGGAATAAAAGAATCCCCATGACCCTTTGCTGGCTTTTAGAAGTAATCTCATTGGAGATTCTGAAATATTCAGATAAATGTGTTCCAATTTTGCCTTTGCTCTTCAGGGTTCTGGCTGGGACTAATATAAAGGTGCCAAAAATCTAATGAGGAAGCCTGTTCATGAACAATTTCCATACCACTTTTAACAGACTTGCAAGGTTAAGAAGGTCTGAATAAATATGCAAACTTTATGATATCCAATGGAATAATTTTTCCTGCCTTTGGCCTTTTAAAAATTTTGCACAAAATTCCATCCAAATTCTATCCAAATATAAGTGACAATTTAATTGGAAAGAGTGAAGCAATTTGAAGTTTAAAATTTATTTTAATATATTGTATCATCTATTAAGTTAATACAAAATGAAAGGTTAATACTACTATTAGTATGTTTGAGAAATCCCCACTATAAGCCTACAATGAAATCTACAACATAAATGATAGATATTAAAGCTAATCATTTACTAAAATTCTTTAACATTCTGTTTACATTTTGCTTGAAAACTATGTTACTATAATTCACTATTCATTCACCCAATAGAATTTGATTGGGACCGAGTGCTTCTAAGACAGAAATACAAGTTAAGAAAGGAATCTTGGTAAAGACCCGGAAAGCAGAAGTTTATTGAATCCAGATTTTAGAGTTAGCAATAGTGAGACTATATATTGTTCTGGAATTTAAATTAATCTCCAAACTCTCAGCTTTTACTTATGAACTCTGTCTTTTCACATCATACAGAGGTTTCATATGCTGAAATCATTACCTTGATGTCTGCTTCATTTCCACACCTTTAAAATCCCTGCAGAATACATTCATCAAGCCAACTTTCAAGGAAAAACAAGAAGGAACTTGGTGTATCAATGTCCATGTTACTTGCCCTACTGTATGCAAAACAAAACAATACATTTTTTATAAGTAAAGTTACATAAGCTTGACCACAGATGAGCTTGCCTTACCCATCATAAGCAACATAAGCAAAAGATTGAGCTTGACAGTGCTTAGGGCTCACAATGTGAGTTAGCCCCAGTGTGAGTTTTAGAAGTTGGGGATGGTGAAGGGGCAAGTGCTTCCCCCTTGTCAACATTTCAACGTAACCCCAAAACTTTTCAGAGGTGGAAGCCAGTAAGGAATTATAACTATTGCAAATGTAACAGACTTTTCAAGAACATGGGAAAAATCTGAAGGATAAGAATTATTTTAAAAGAATATACAATTCATATATTTTACTTGTAAAATTATTTATAAAAATTAAAAGTAAACTGTGAGGGCCATCCCATGGTAAAATCTACCTCTATGACATTCCCCTTGCCTGCAGTTTCAGACGTTGTAGTGATGATATGTCTTTCTCAAGGATTGTAATGATAACCCAAACTAAGGCAAAAGCTGCATATTAGAATAGCAGGAACTCTGATTTAGGACATAATTCAGTTTGCATTATCTTACTTCTGCCATGAACCCTGACTCCCCGTGAGATTATAAAGGCAAGGCTCACTCTGTCATATTTGCCACAGTATTCTCAGTGCCTCATGCATCGAGTATGGGTGCCCCTTAAATATTTTTTGAATGAATAAGTAACAATATTTTGGCTTTGACTTCTGTCTTGATCTCAACCATTTCATTTGTAAAATAAGTGGGTTAGGCTAGATGATCTTCATGTCCCCTTCCAGTCTAGGACACTGTTTCTTAACTACCAGCCCTTGTTAACAATACAGATTTCAGGACCAAAATCAAAGTCTCTGGGGATGGGGCCTCGGCAATTGCCCTTTTAATGCTTCACAGATGCTTCTTTTGTACAAGAAATTTGTTCTAGGACCATACAAGTATCTTAAACTAAGTTTAGAAGTAGAAATTTTGACCACATCAAAGTACTTATATATAAAGAGCAAGTAGATAGTGAAGGTGACCATCTTGATAATTTGGTTCTCTAATTGCCCATACTCTTAACTTAGAGATTATGAAATTTTTGTAAGGCCTTTCTACCCAGAGAATTTCCTTCATTCTTGATAGAGGTGGACAAAGATATAGTATTTCCAGATTTGGTTGAAAAGCTATAACTTTTAAATAAAGCACTCTATTCTTTCTTTCTTCATGAAGATATAATTTTCAAGCTGTTAATCTTTCCATATACAAATATATCACTAAACTAGGTTTTGAAATATTATATTATAAACACAGAAAAATCTCTTTAACTGACAGACCAAAATGTAATTGGCTTTCTTAATATTCAAACACATCAATCTTTTAAAATGTTAATTGACATCTACTTTCCTGGATAAGTGTTTTCTTTTATAAAAGTGTAATTTTAAAAACCCTAAATTTAAAAGTTGGCATTGGTAGGTATAAATTTTTCTTATTGACAACAGAAAAGACAACTTTTTCTACTCAAATTCCTACTAGCCACAGAAAATACCAACAAAACGTGATTAATAAAACAACCTTAAGTCTTTTCACTGACATTCCCAAAAACCAAAACTAACCGTTGAGTTTAGGATGCTCAATTGCTTCTTTGTTCTTCCAAACTTCATATTCTTGATGAGGTGTAGATTGATATGACTCAAGGGAAGCCAAAGCAAAGATATTTGTTTTATGTATCTGAACTCTAGTGAAAGCCAAATAGGTAGGCTTTTAAGGTAGACTGAGAGGCCAGATTTTCAGACATCACTCAAGCAGAACTCGTGCTGGGCTCCCTCTCATTTCGATGAGTTGTCCAAACCAAACACAGCCAGTCAATTCCAGTTTTTTCCAACAGTTTGCATAGTTTCCAACTGCGGAAAGGGAGAGACAATTTTCGTGATTCCATGTCAGATGTCAGGCCTGCTGACCTTCAAGGAAAGCTGAGCTTGACAATGGTGAACATTGCCCAGAGTACACAAAGTTAAAATATTTGTTCCTTTGCCAGAAATACAGATGGATGTAAAAATAGGAACATTTTAAAGGTTTAAATTTAAACAGTGTTCTTTAAAGAACACATTATTTTGAAACTTTTTTTTATTCCGGAGCTATCATATATTTTAATTTAGGTGCAAAGAGTATTACACTTTGATTTCCAGTACATATTGTTACACTAAAAAGCAAAGCACAAAAGAATATCTATAATACACAACTCTTCAAATAAGAAAAAAAGAAATTTGAAAAAATATCAATTTCTTTGTGTAGAAGAGATACAGAGAGGGTAAAGCAGAAACTAAAGAGATTGGTTACGTGATGGAGTAAGATGAGAAAAGGATGGAAAGAATAGAGGAATCAAAACAGGTTAGCAGGGATGAGGAGGGCATGACATTTTTCTAAGTATATATATTTAAGAGCTCTTACCCTTAGAATCATAGTAATGTTTCATGTATCCATCACATACCCAAAATAATAAACAATAACCAAGCAGGATCCAGGGGGAGCCCAAACTGGAGCAGAAACAAGAACACATGATCTGCCCATAGTGCAAATAAATAATATAATCATATTCAAGGGAATGGGGAAGAAAAGAACTAGGTTTGGAGAACACTGTCTTGATGGATATTGTAAGGCTAAAGACACAAGGAACTATTATGCATGCATAAATAGGATTATGCATGCATAAATCCTGTAATATTACAAGTAAATGTGTTTCTCAAAGGTTTATGGTTTGACAGTTCTGAAACAATGGGTATGCTAAAATTGAACAAATAGGTAAATATACTGAAGATAATAAGAAATGGGTTTCTCACTGCCAGGGAAAGAATTTAAAAATAAGGAAACAGTAAAAACTAAAGCAGTAGTCCCCAACCATTTTGGCACCAGGGACCGGTTTCATGGAAGACAGTTTTTCCATGAATGGGGTGGGGTAAGCGGTTGGTTTTGGGATGAAACTGTCCCAGCTCAGATCATCAGTCATTAGATTCCCATAAGGAGCGCACAACCTAGATCCCTCACATGTGCAGTTCACAATAGGGTTCGTGCTGCTATGAAAAGCTAATGCCACCCCTAATCTGACAGGACATGGAGCTCAGGTGGTAATGCTCCCTCACCTCCTGCTGTGCAGCTCAGTTCCTAACAGGCCATGGACAGGGTACCGATCAAAGGCCCAGGGGTTGGGGAGCCCTGGACTACAGAGAACACTGTAGTGTTGTACTGGAATCTGATGTATCAGCATAAAGTCATGGCTAGATAGATAGATAGAGATGTAGATGTAGATAGATAGATATAGATATGATTGATAGATATATAGAGAACTACAGATATGGTATGTATATGGCTTAAAGTACACAAATATATTTTCTAACATATAGATAGATATAGACAGATAGATACATACATACACACATATGTACATAGATACATAGATAGAGAACTACAGATATGGCATGTATGTGGGTTAAAGTACACAAATATCTTTCCTAACTCTGTCTGCTAAGGGGGCTTAGAAATAATGGCATCCCAGTAGTAATGCACATGCAGCACTCAGATCTTGGTTTCTAAACACCATTCCCCAATGAAAGGAACCAGGGCCCCCAGGAGAAATGGTTAGTTCCAGGGCTAAGGTCAGAAAAATACAAAATGAACCTGAATATCTTGTGCTAGCAGAATGTAAGGAAATGTTCACTAAAAGATGGGGGCTGACTGAAAAAACAAGAGCCAAATCTAGAACAATTTGAGTAACGAAATAAATGACAATATTGGATTATAACCTACAGAATACCCCAAATATCTATAAGTCCACACTAACATAAATAAATGCTTGTTTAAATAAATAAATGAGAAATAAAGGAAAACTCTTCCTCACTGTAGAAATACAGTTAATAAAGGTACAAGAGAAAGGAAATAGACAATTACAATTAAGCAAACACCATAGTAATAATTGTGTGTCATAAAAACAAGATCCATCAATGAATGTCAAAATTCATAGGTGAAAGTTTGAAGAGAAACACTTTCTATAGCTTCAAAATGTGTCCCCTAAGATCTTTACTAACTACAAAGGAATGATAGTAAGTTTACGGTGGTGAAATGCAGCAGACACCAACTTAACCAAGTAAAGTCAAAATCATATATATATATGGAATCTAAAAAAGTCAAATATATAGAAAAAGAGAAAAGAATAATGGTTATCAGGGGTGGAACGTAGGGGGAATATGGGGAGATGTAGGTCAAAGGATACAGAGTTAAACATATGTATATACATACACACACACATATATATATATTTAAATTGCATATATTTAAGGTGTACAACATGATATTTTGATATAGACATATACAGTGAAATGATTATGACCACCAAGCAAATTAACTTATACATCACCTTACATAGTTACTTTTTTTCTTGTAGTAAGAACACCTAAAATCCACTCCTTTAGCAAATTTCCAGTATAAGATATAATATTATTAGCTATAGTCACCATGCTGTTCATTATAGTCACCATGCTGTTCATTAGATTTCTAGACTTATTCATCCTGCATAACTATAACTCTGTATCCTTTGACCTACATCTCCATATATTCCCCCTACATTCCACCCCTGGTACCATTATTCTTTTCTCTGTTTCTATATATTCAACTTTTTTAGATTCCACATATAAGTGAGATCACGCAGTGTTTTTCATTCTCTGTCTGGCTACTTTCATTTAGTGTGATGTCTCCCATTTTGTTGCAAATGGCAGGATTTCCTTTTTGAAGGCCGAATAAAATTCCATTGCATATATATACTCATTGAAATGTCGACAGACACTTAGGTTCTTTCCATAGCTTGACTATTATGCATAATGCTGCAATGAACATGGAAGCAAAGTTATCTATCTCTGAGGTCTGATTCATGTCCATGGGGTATATATCCAGACTGCTTGGTCATACGGTAGTTCTGTTTTTAGTTTTTAAAGGAACCTCCCTACTGTTTTCCATAATGGCTATACCAATTAACATTTCCTATTTCTTTGGTATTTGTGCCAAAATCCATAACTTCATTCCAATCATGAGAAAACATCAGACAACTCCAAGTTGGGAGACACTTGACAAAATATCTGACCAATATTTTTCAAAATTTCAAGATCAAAAAAGACAAAAAAGAAACCCTTAAAAATGTGAAGTGCAGCAACTAAGGAAAAAGAAGAACCAAATGCAATGTAGTATCCCAAGTAAGACCCTGGACAAGATCCTGAACTTAAAAAAACAACATGAATGGGAAAAGGAATAAGATTCAAATAAAACCTGTAGCTTATTTAATAGTGTTGAGTTAGTGTTTGTGTTAGTCCGTTCTGACACTGCTAATAAAGATATACCTGAGACTGGGTAATTTATAAAGGAAAAGGGGTTTAACTGACTCACATTTCCACAGGGCTGGGGAGGCCTCAGGAAACTTATGATGGCGGAAGGGGAAGCAAAGGTATTCTTCCTCATATGGCAGCAGGAAGGAGAAGTGCCAAGCAAAAGGGGGAAAAGCCCCTTATAAAATCATCAGATCTCATGAAAACTCACTCACTATCACGAGAACAGCAGCATGAGGGTAACCACCCCAATAGATGATTCAATTACCTTTCACCAGGTCCCTTCCAAGACACATGGGGACTATGGGAACTACAATTTAAGATGAGATTTGGGTGGGGACACAGCCAAACCATATCATTGTTAATTTCCTGGTTCTGATCATTGTACTGTGGATATGGATAGGAGAAGCTGGATGTGGGCTATACGGAAAGTCTCTCCGCAATTGTTGAAACTTTTCTGTAAGTCTGAAATGTGTTCAAAATAAAAAGTTAAAAAACATGAAATACAAGGTGATGTGTAAAAATTGTTTTAAAGACAACTTTTAGATCTTTTTAAAGGTTTTTGAAGGAATGATATAGTTCAGACTCTTTACCCTGAACTGCAAAGATTTGCACCAGGAGCTCATTCTTACCACTCCTATGTCATTTCCAACCCTCTGCCACCCATGCTGGCTTTTTTCTTTTCCTTGAGCATGTCAGATGAATTCTCAACTACACACACATACAAACACACACACACACGCACACACACATGTGTCTTCCCCTGATCTTCTCAAAATTGGCTCCTTCTCATTGTTCAGCAGAATTTCTTAGTCAGCTCAGACCAGGTTATACTGTATCTCAAAAATATACTTTTATTTCTCATGTATGCTTCATGGCCCATCCATTAACTCCGAGTCAGCTGTGGATCTGCTCCCTACGTCTTCTTCATTCCAGGAGTCAGGCTCGAAGAGAAAACCCAGTATGGAATTTGCTGAGGGAAGAGAACAAGCCAGCTTTCAATAGCAAATGATGGCTCTCAGGGCTTCTCTGTGGAGCTGGCAGGCTGGTGTTCGTGCTCACATTTCATTGGTTGAAGCATGTCACCTGGCTAAGCCTGGTGTTGACGTGATAGGGAAGGAAACTTCTCCTATAGAAGACACTGCAAGTCACATGGTAAGGATGTGTAATCTTCCAGGAAACAGAGCAAGAATTTGGGAACAATAAATAATCTATTATAAGACTCCTTGAAACTTTCTCAGAGGAACTTTCTTGTACCACCTGCAAGTAAAGTTATCCCTCTTCCCCAGGTTACTTAATATTCTATTATTTTGTTTTATTTTCTTATCACTTACTAGAATTATCTTACTTTGTTAAGGTTTCCCTTTATGACTGGTCTTTCCACCACAATGTAAATTCTAAGAAAGCAGATAATTTATCTAAGTTACTCATCACTCTGTCCAATAGTTCCTTGCTCATATTTAAGTGCTCAATAAATATTTGTTGGATAAAAGAAGGGCACAGCCTGGAACTCTCCAATTTCCATGTTTTTATACAGTACATCATATACAATGTCTCACTAAGAGCAGGCACTGATAAATGTTTGTTAAATAAATAAATGAATGCATATTTATATTGAATGAAATTAAAGATGAAAAATATATACATATATTTATATACACATTTTGATAATGGTTATGGCTACAACTAAGAAAAAAGAATTTCCTTATTAAGAAGGGACATTTCTATGCATTGACTTTTTCTCCTAGTGTACTTGGAAGAAGTAGATTAAATTTGATTTTTCTCATGTAGTTCCAGCTAACCTCACCTATAAATGAATAAAGCATTTGAGGATTCAGTCTGGCAAATGCAGAGCAGGTCTGCAGAACAGACATATTAACAAATTGTTTTGGAAGTGGAGCAGCAGCAGGATGGGAGATTGAAAGGGGTTGGGATATAGGTGACGAACAGCACAGACACACTGGTGTTGCAAGTGCTTTTTCCTTCTTTTGACTGGTAAGAGCTTCTATTGATAGCTCATTTTAATAAATGGTACTTCCTTGCAAAATTCTCTATCTTTCTTTTTCATAAGAGCTAGGAAAGTTCCGTATCAATTCCTTGTTTGGACTTCCACTTCCTCCCCCAAAGGGCAAAATTATGATCTAATTTATTTAAATGAGCATTACCCAATAAGGTTGGCTCTGTTTAGCATGACTGCCTGCAGTCTCAAAGTATTCACAGACCTGCTCAGTTTTAGCCTTAGGGATAGATGGAGTCAGGGCTATGACTGCAGAAATCACGGTAGATGTTGCCTTCCCTGATCATAGATTTCCACTATTAATAGTTCATTACTGTAGCTTTAAACTAGATAACCCACAATTTAAAGGTTGCTTTTCCTCTTAAATTTAAAAAAAAAATTAAGATGAAAAATAGTGTGATTCTTTTCTTTACAATTTTTAAATTAGGTCCCAAGAAAAATGTGCTAGAGATGGGTGTCATTGTTGGGAAATGGGAAATGGAAAAGCATGGGAGAAGTAGAACTATGAAGCTAAAAAGTTTGTGTAATTTCCCAAGTTTACCTTGAGCTGGCTTTGACCTTAGGGTAAATTACCCATGGTTGTCGCCATAAACCTGCAACCCATTACTGCACAGACTGAATTAAGATGAGGTCTGTAATAAACTCTGCTCAAGGAGGTTCAGTTAAGAAAGGTGAGCAATGGACCAGTTATTCCAGCAGTCTTTCAGGGATACATTTTCATAGCATAGAGACCATTAGAGTGAGTTTCTACAATATTTACTTCTTTTCAATCTTTCTCAAATGTAGAGTTTAATGATTCCAGACAGTAAACAATACTCACAATGGTACTGATGAATTGTAAATTTTTGTACTGAGGTATTCTGAGAGTTAAATTTTAGTCTGCCATCTGTCAGCTATGTATTATTGAGCAAGATACTTAACCTCTCGGAGCCTCAGTTTCTTCATCTGGAAAATGACTACACTAATACTATCTATTTTGGGGCATATTGTAAAGATTAAATGAAAACGTGTATGTGCAATGTCAGGATATCATGAGTTGAAGGTCCCCCAAAAAATCCAACTCTAACAAAAACGCAAAGGAAATGTATTAATTCATGCAACAGGAAATTGAAAGTGAAAGGCTGGCTTTACGTATGGTTGGATAAAGATGTTCAATAAATGTATTCAAAATTTGTCTTTTCTCCAACTCTTGGCTGAGCTGTTCTTTGGATAGGCTTTAATTTCAAGTAGTTTCTCTTCATGTGTTGGCAAAGATGATCACCAGAAGCTAAAAAACAGTACTTCTTTTTCATAGTTCCAGAAAAAGTCCCAGGACTGAATCTCATTTGTAACTCCTGGGTCATGTACTCTAGACTGAGACCAAGAGAAAGAATTCTCAGATTGGCTTGATCCTGGAGGAAGTTGGTTGTGTCAGCCTCACTCAAATAGTATGGACAGGAAAAGGGTGAAGGGCAGCACCTTTCAAGCAAAAAAGGTGATGTTACATCACTACAAAAAAAATTGAGAGTGGGCAAAACAACAGCTGAATGTATTTAAAGTGCAGCACAACGCTTGACAAAGATCAAGCCATCCATGAATATTTGCTGTTATTAATGTCATCAATTTTCTGGAGAAGGAAATAGATGGTGACCTTAGGCAGATATCACCAGGGGAGAATCTGGGTGACTAAATGCTAACCAAGGATGTGAAATATGAGAGCATGACCAATTCTTCTTAAACTTTTCGTTCCCAGTACCAGCACAGTAGTTGGCACATAACACTGCTCATAAATGCATGACAAGTGAATGAATATGTGCTAGGAATCCTGCTAAGTTCTTCTCATCCAATGGCCATTATAATAGGAACATAACTATTTCTTGGTCTGTTGTCCCAATAGACTCTTTCTTCTGAGAGGTTTCTTGTAGGGTGCTCTAAACTTGAAAGTGCATGTGAATTACCTGTGATCCTGTTACAATGCAGATTCTGGCTGGGCATGGTGGCTCAAGCCTGTAATCCCAACACTCTGGGAGGCTGAGGTGGGTGGATCACTTGAGGTCAGGAGTTCAAGACCAGCCTAGCCAACATGGTGAAACCCTGTCTCTACTAAAAATACAAAAATTAGCTGGGCGTGGTGGCACACACCTGTAATCCCAGCTACTTGGGAGGCTGAGGCAAGAGAATCACTTGAGCCTAGAAGGCTGCAGTGAGATCACACCACTGCACTCCAGCTTGGGTGACAAAGTGAGACTCAGTCTCAAAAAAAAAAGGAAAAGAAACGATGAATGGAGATTCTGATGGAGTGAGACTGAAATGGGGCCTGAGATATTACATTTCTAACAAGCTCATAGGTGGTGCTATTTCTGCTGGCATGCAGACAACCCCTTGAATAGTGTCTTAGTCCGTTCAGGCTGTTAAACAAAATACCATAAACTGTGGTGCTTATAAACAACAGAAATGTGTTTCTTACAGTTCTGGAGCTGGGAAGTTCAAATTTTCAGGGCTGGCAGATTCAGTGTCTGGTGAGGGCCTCAGCTTCTCGCTGTGTCCTCACATGGTGGAAGGGACAAGGCCACTCCCTGGGATCTCTTTTATAAGAGCACTAATCCCAGTCAAGAGGGCTCCACTTTCATCACCCCATCACCTCCCAAAAGGCCCCACCCCCTAGTACCATCACATTAGGGGTTGGGATTTCAACCAATGAATTTAGGGGGTACACAAACATTCAGATTATAACAAATAACTAGGCTCTAAAGCTCTAAACTATTTCCAGGTGGGAACTGACATAAAGCTTTTACCAAGTTATTCAACCCCACTGTTCAGTAGAGACCCTGCTTTAGGGTGTTCTTGTACATGTCATTTCCTTCGTGGGTAAGGAGGCAAAAAGGAAGTAACAGAGAATTTAGGCTTAGAGTAGTTCTCCTAAAAATCTGTGAAAATGGAGTAAACCATGTAAAATGTACTTTTAAATAGATTAGTGAATCAGTTTCTAGCTCTTAATCTATATATTTTAATTTATCATACAGACTACTCTAAAAATGTTAAAAATGCACCCATAGCTGTTTTTAAAACCAGGCATCATGAATTTTAACCCTTATTTCCTTTAGCACTTTATGGTGTGCAAAGCATTTTGGCATTTATTGCCTTATCTGATTTGGCTAGTCTGAGATAAAAGCTGACCTTCTAAAATAAAATAGTGAAGATGCTGTGTCAGTTTGTCTGAATAACCATATTTTCTCTTTTGGCCATATATCTCATTTTAATGCACTTATGATCATCCTCAATCTTTCCTCCATCAACTCCATTTCTAGGATTTAGAATTCTTGGCTCCACACCTGAGATTCATAATTGCTTCCTTCTGTTTATGCAGCTGCAAGAAGTTCACATGAAAACAGTCTCCTTCCTCTCTCTGTAGCCATGACATTGAACATACATTTTCCCTCCTCAGCAATTACATGGAGGTTACATAACCTACTTGTTGAATTGAAGTAGCATATCTAGACTAATAAAATTTAACCATTGACAGATCCTTACAGGTGATCTGTGGGTAGACGAATCAGAAAGACATATTTGCAAATGTAACATAGCTAAGCAGAAAGATTTAAATGGATCTAGACATAGGAATCCAAGGAGAAAATAAAGTTACTCTAAAGCACACTTGGCCTCTCCAAAGCATGTCCAGAGCAACAGGAGTGCCCTCAGGGAGCTAGTGGCTGTTATGGGAGTTTCTGTCCAAATGTGATTATGCAAAGCTCAGACATTGGCAAGCTAGTAAATAGATAGCCTTGTGTCTGCAACACCCTTTCTAACAAAGAAGAGCTATAAATCCAGCTCTGATGCAAAAACCGCCATAGACAATATGTAAATGAATGGTTGTGGTTGTCTTCCAATAAAACTTTATTTACAAACACAGATGGCAGATGAGATTTGGCCTACAGACTGTAATCTGTCCACCTTTGAAATAGGCAATGCTAAGATAACATTCTTGTACATGACATCAATAATTATTTCTATAGAATAAATTCTTAGTAATGGAATTATGGGTGAATAGGGATGCACGTTTTTAAAGGTCTTAATATATATTATTAAATTTGTTTCCCAAAATAATGCAACAATTATACTTCTTACTGAATATAAATGTCCTTATTTTGCCATGCATTCACCCACATGTACTATAACCATTTTAATGAATCGATTTGACAGAAACAAATTAGTAGTATTTCACTAATTTGACTTGTTGTTTTATTACCATGTTTACAATGTTCCTGCATATTGTATATTTATTTTCTGTGTGTTCAAAATATTTTGTGACATATAGGTGATTTTTGTTTCATGTCTTTCAATTTTCTTAAAATTTGTTATTAAAAATCCATTATAACACTAAATTTAAGGGAGATACAACCAGAGGTTGAATATAAATGGATAGAATTAATCTGAGTAAATTAACTGTTATAAGAGTTAATCTGAATCCCTGAATCTCAAGAGTTTAATATAACAAAAGGTTATTTCTCACTCATGATACAGTTCAACACAGTTTTTGGTGACTCTGCTATATGATGTCATCCAATGACTGAGGATGACAAAGCTCTGCCATCCTCAACACATTTTGTCCCTGCACATAGGAATCCAGCTTGCAGTTTGGAAACCACTGTGTGGAGGAGATGGGCCTTGCCTGACTGTTTGAGCCTGAAAGTGGCACAGGACCTTCACTCATCTCCTGCTGGTGATAATTCATCACATGACCTTACCCAAGAGGGAGAAATGATGTTGTGTCTTTCTCAGGGCATTATATCTGGGTTCATAATATTAATGTCTTTATTACCAGTGATGTTGACTTTGATTGCTTGGTTAAGTTGGTGTCTGCTGCATTTCACCACTGTAAACTTACTATCTTTCTCTTTGTAGTTACTAAAGATCTTAGAGGACACATTTTGAGGCTATAGAAAGTGTTTCTCTTCAAACTTCCACCTACTGATTTTGGCATTCATTGATGGATCTTGTTTTTATGACACACAATTATTACTATGGTGTTTGCTTAATTGTAATTGTCTATTTCCTTTCTCTTGTACCTTTATTAACTATATTTCTACAGTAAGGAAGAGTTTTCCTTTATCTTATTCCTACACCCAGGAAGAGGAAATGGGTTTGGTAAGCATCTAGCCCATCTTGTCACAAAATTAAAATTTAAATACTAGATTTCAGGACTTTGTTTTTTTTTTTTTTTTGGTTCCTCTAATATTTATGGCAAAGACTAGTATCATTTTATTAAAAAATTTGACTGATGAAGAAATGTAAATAAAAACTACAAAAAGGTATCATCTTACTCCAGTTAAAATGGCTTTTATCCAAAAGACAGACAATAATGAATGCTGGCATGGATGTGGAGAAAGGGGAACCCTCATACACTGTTAGTGGGAATATAAATTACTGTAGCCACTAATCCACTATGGAAAATAGCATGGAGTTTCTTCAAAAACTAAAAATAGACCCCCCATATTATCCAATCGTCCCACTGCTAGGTATATATCAAAAAGAAAAGAAATTAGTGTATCAGAGAGATATCCACGCTCCCATGTTTGTTTGCAGCCCTATTTACAATAGCCAAAATATAATCAACCTAAGTGTCCATCAATGGATGAATGAATGAAGAAAAGGTGGCATATATACACAATGGAATACTATTCAGCTATAAAAAGAATGAAATCCTGTCATTTGCAGCAACACGGATGGAATGGAAGATCATTATATTAAGTGAAACAGGCCAGGCACAAAAAGACAAATATTGCATGTTCACACTCAAATGTGTGAGCTAAAAAAAAAAAACAACAATTGAGCTAATGGAGATAGAGACTAGAAAGATGGTTACTGGAGGCTGGGAAAGGTAGCAAGGAGGGGGAGATAAAAAAACAAAAGGATGGTCAATAGGTACAAAAATGCAGTTAGAATGAATAAGATTTAGTATTCAGTAGCACAGTAGGGTGACTACATGACTATAGTTAACAATAATTTATTGTATATTTTAAAATAACTAAAATAATAAAATTGGAATATTCCTCACCTAATGAAATGATCAATCCTTGAGGTGATGGATACCCCAATTACCCTGATGTGATCATTACATATTGTATGCCTGCATGAAAACATCACAAGTACTCCATAAATATATATAACTATGATGTACCCATAATAATTAAAAGTAAACTTATTTTAAAGAAAGCAAAGCTAGGCATGCTTGCTTTTTTCTTTCTTTCTTTCTTTCTTTTTTTTTTTGTTCGAAATCTTGCTCTGTTACCCAGACTGGAGTGCAGTTTTTGTAATTTTAGTAGAGATGGGGTTTCATCATGTTGACCAGGCTAGTCTCGAACTCCTGGCCTTAAGTGATCCACCCACCTTGGCTCCTAAAGGGCTGGGATTGCAGGTGTGAGCCACCATGCCTGGCCTATTTATTTTTTATTTTTTTATTTCCCTCCCTTCCTCCCTCCCTCCCTTCCTTCCCTTCTTTCTTCCTTCCTTTCTTCGCCTTCTTTCTTTCTTTTTCTGTTTCTTTCTTTCTCTCTCTCTTCTTTCTTTCTTTCTTTCTTTCTCTCTCTCTCTCTTTCTTTCTTTCTTTCTTTCTTTCTCTCTTTTTTTCTTTCTTTCTTGAGTCTCACTCTGTTGCCCAGGCTGGAATGCAATGGCACAATCACAGCTCACTGAAGCCTCGAACTCTGGGCTCAAGTGATCCTCCTGTTTCAGCCTCCTAAGTAGCTCAGACTACAGGTATGCACTACCACACTCAGCTGATTTTTAAACAGTTTTGCAGAGACAGGGTCTCACTATGTTGCTCAGGCTGGTCTCAAACTCGTGACTTCAAGTGATCTTCTTGCCTCGGCCTCTTATAATTATGTTTTCTTTAAAAACATTTTAGCTGATGATTACTGATATAAAACACATACTTTATAAGAAAAACCAAACAGCCAATGATAAAACTATAAACACTTTGCTTTTCGGTTCTTTACACTTAAAAGGTGTATCTGCTTGCATTTGTAACTAATCCCATGCTATTATTACAATATCCAAAATTTGCATTAATTTTGCTAATTTTCTCAAGATTAACAAAAATTAGATCATGAAGCCAAATAGAAAATTAGTAGGTTAAATAGCAAGAAAAGAAAGCATCTTTGAAGAGAAAATTCAAATATATTTCAAAACAATTTTTATAATTAATTACCATTAAATAAAAAAGAATAACATCATGCTTAACACACTATCCTGGTATTGAATTCAGACAAACATAAGCAAGGGAAAAGAGATCACTAGAAATCAATGCACAAAATGAGTATGAGAAAACTCTAACGTTTTTTCTTTGGTAATTTAGAATGCAAATGGAAATCAAGTTCTTATTCCTTTGATGCTTATGTATGATCTTCTTATTGAGAAAACTCAAAAGAATCAGATCACTGTATTCCTCCTTATTTTAGGATGTTTATATTAATGCAGGATAACCTGGCCAGAAAAGCAAAGGGAAGTGAAGAGGCTGTTTAATGAAGGCAGTTTAGCACCAGAAATTCCAAAAGAATAGATTAACATTGTCTGCCTCTAAACTCTTCAAAGAAAAACATAATTGTGCCTTTTATATCTTAACCCATGCTCCAACTGCAGAATTCCTTAACTCCCAGGAGGAGCCTCATAGAGATGCTGTGCTGTTTGATTTGGCACTATTCACAAACCTTGGCAGATGATCAAATAGAGGGCACAGAAGTGCAGGAAAAGCCTTAAGAAACTGTCTTCGCTGTTGTCGTTACTGCCTTCATGAATTGAAATCTCAATGGTAAGCATAAAAAAGCCATAGATATTAACCGAGCGTGCATAACTCCAATTTAGATGTTTAACACACCTTGGCTTGGAGAAAGCATGCACGTTTAGAACTCTATATGCTCTCCCTTGAGTTGTAGTTGTCTCATCTTTCAAATAAACATGGTTTCTTAAAATAATTAGGTCTTTTTGCCCCAGAACTCTTGTACTAAGTGTGCAGACATGATAAAATGAGTGAGTCTTGTCTTAGAACTCAAAAGATCTGGGTTCCAGTTCTGATGCTACCAGTTCCTAGCTCTTTAACCTTGGGCAAGTTGCTTAACTCCACTGAGCCTTAGCCCATAGGTCTATTAAACAAATACTGCTCACTTCACTGATTTTCTGTTAGAAGCAAATGAAAATTATATTTAGGATCACATAAAAATAATGTATAGAAGTATTTGGTAAAATATAAAGAGCAATGCTGTTGTGAGAGATTATTACTGTGATGAAGTAGAATTGTGCAGCAATACAAAGTGTCATTAAAGGACAGGTATTTTAAAGAATTGATTTATAACGAAAGGATAAAATCCAGGAGAGAATCTACTAGATTTTTACTGAGTTTAAAATATAAATGTAGACAGTACTTTTAAAAAAGGAAAAGAAAAAAGAAAAGAAAATGGTCACAAAATCGAAAAAAGTTATGCTAACTATGGAAATGATTGGCAAAATAGTGGAATTTCTAAGGCATGAAATTCTTTAAAATAGATTAATTATATATTTGGGAGAGTTTTTGAAATGGATTTTATGTCTCTAGATGATTTCTCTCAGCTTATATTCATTCATTCTTCCATTCATAGAATGTAAGCTCTTTGGGTTGTGTTCCCTAACTTATTATGAGAGTACAGAGTAGGTGCTCATTAACTATTCGTGGATCAAATGAACTGATGAATTAATGAGATCATTAATTCACAATTTTCTGTGGTATTCATTGTGCTAGTTGTTAGAGGTGAAAGAATTCTATAGAGACAGTTTCTGCTCTCTGGGAGCAGAATATATATATGTGTGTGTATATATATATTTTATATATATATACACATATATATTTATATACATATATACATATATGTATATATGTATGTGCATATATACATATATATACATATATATGTATGTACACCCACGTGCATTATTGTTTTTCAAGTGTATGTTAATTAAAATAATAGCATACAATATACTATTCTAAAACTTTCTTTCCCTCTATAACATTTATTGGAAACCTATTCATATTAGTACATTTCAATCTAGTTCATTCTTTAAAATGTTGCAATAGTGGCCACAATGGGGCCATCATTCGCACGTGGTACCCTATGGAGTTGTGTAGTAAACAGCCTGTACACTTGTTTGTGGCTGCTCTCTGCCCTGTTTAGATAAATAACATAGCTACACCATAGCTCATCTAGTTGTTCCTCTATTGCTAGATAGACACATAGGTTGTTTCCAGTTTTTCAATATTATCAACCATCTTTTAATGAATATTTTTGTACAACTTATAATAACTGAAATATCCAAACAATGTAATGAAATTCTTCATCTATTTTAAATCCTAGACTTGAGATCAGAAATTCCTTCTTGAACTCTATGTATTGTGTGCACACTTAGCAGCAGAACTATTAAAAACCAAAACAAAATAGCCTTTTGAGAAAATGGGAGGGACGAATAAATCTCTTTTACTCTTTAAACGCAGAAGCTTGCAGAGATTAAAGCCCTCTCTCTTTATTTGGGTATTCAGTAGGCACAGAAATTAAACTTTTCAGACTCAGTCTTTTTGCCTCATACTGATTTGATTTAGTTGTAGGATTCTGAAGATGTAGTATGTATGCACCATTTCAGGCAAGCTGGGGCTTTATGTGTTTTTGAATGGCAACATTTCTTTTCCACAAAAGATAACTTTATGACAAGTTACATTTATATTGAACTGCTTTGACATTGTGTAAGAACAGATTCATAGAGCTTGATACATTCGGCAGAGATAGATGTTTCCTCTATAATGCCTTTGATCTCTTTTCTGTTCAGAATGCTTTTGAATATTGAGAGGGCTGTTTGTCCTGAGGCACAGCCACTTGTAAACACATAGACACCCCTGAGGAGCTATGTATTACTCAGGTAATTGTTGCAGGGACCTGTTCTGTCTGGTGCCAAAGACAGCCTTTAGTGCAGACCTCTTAAGGAAACACAGGCTAATGAAACTGACTTAATGAAATTGCTAGGCATTAGAAATAGCATTTTCACAAGGGGAGCAAATGGACAAGAGCCTCCTTGTTGTCATTTGGGCAGTGATTTGTGGTATTGATTCTGGCCTTTGGCTGGAGCTTGAACTAAGTACAGCAGAGGTCCAACTGCCTTGACCTTGAATGGAATGCTTACTCCATCACGGAAGGAGCTGGCTTCCTGTATTTGAAGAGAGGATGGTGGCATAGAGATTGGGAGGAAGAGAAGGCCAAAGAAAGCAATAGAAGCCAATCCCCAGGCCTGAGGGTCAAAAGACACACTCAAGGGCCAGACGAGGCTGCCTCCTTGATAGGGGACCTGATAAGCTGACCTCAGCTGCAGTTTTCTTTCCAGATGTTTGGTGGAGGATTCTAAGGCTAAAAGCAAGTCTTCTCACAGTGGCATTGCCAGATCCCCTGGGGCTGGTTCTGTGGCATAAGCAGCCTGGACTGCCTTGGCAGGTCAAAGCACTCATGTCTCCTTTTAGGTTTGCATAAATACATATGACTCAACTTGTTCCTCCACTTAGAGTTACGGATTTTTCAAACTGGAAATGAGCATAAAGATTACCTATCAAAATCTCCTTCACTTGGAAGATGAGGATGCCAATCTCCAAAGTGGAAGGAGTGGCCTCTGCCGCTAGGTCATTCACCTCATTAGTGATTTTACCAATCGATTTCCCTCTCGACAATTTGAGGATTCCTGACAATGGCTCCTCCTCTTCTTCCTCCTCTCCCAGTTATCACCACTATCATGGCCATCATCATCATCTTGAGATTCCTTGAATGTGCTCTCCATATCTTCTGCTTAATAGCTACAGTTCCATGAGCATTCAGTGTGAAGGACCCAGCAGCATTTGTCCTTGTTGCATAATGAAAAGAGCTCTGGATTCGGAAGCAGACACACTTGAATTTAAAAACAGACCTAACTCTTTACTTTCATTTGCATGACCTTGACAGCCATTTTACTCCTCTGAGCTTGTTTCCTCGTTTATAATATGAAGGCAATAATGTCTGCTTTAGAGTTTCTATGAAGCTGAAGTGAGGATGTTACCATTATTGTCTACTGCCTGTACAGGATAGGTCCTCAGTAGATGGGTACCTGGGATACTAGTATTGCTATTATTTCCCAGAGGCTTGGCTTCTTATATTTGAAGAGATGCTCTGAAAGTTATCACAGATGCTCTCAAACTTAGTCCTGACTCAATTGTCTAAGCTTGAGCAAGTTGGTTTCTCTCTTGGCCAGGCCAGGTGGCTCACATCTGTAATCCCAGCACTTTGGGAGGACAAGGTGGTACGATCACTTTCACTTGAGCCTAGGAGTTCGAGACCAGCCTGAGCAACATATTGAGATCCTGTCTCTACAAAAAATAGAAAAATTAGCAAGGTGTGGTGGCATGTGCCTGTAGTCCGAGCTACTTAGGAAGCTGAGGTGGGAGGGTCACTTGAGCCTGGGAGGCAGAGGTTGCAGTGAGCCAAGATGGTGCTAGAAGGGTGAAAGAGTGAGACATTGTCCAAAAAAAAAAAAAAAAAAAAAAGAGAGAGAGAGAGATAGTGCCTCATTTATAAACTGAGGAGTTGCACCAGATCCTTTCTAAAGCTCAGTGCATACATTTTTTGACATAGCATGATGCAGTGGTTCTCCAGCATTGGTGAACATTCCAGTCACCTGGGGTTTCATGCCTAGAGATTCTAATTTAGTAGGTCTGGGAGAAAGACCCAAGAATCTGTATTTCTTAAAAAAGACACCAAATCTTAGTTTTCTCTTGCTATGACTGAGAAAAGTAATAATATCCATGTGGTAGGAAAATGGTGAGAAGCAAATGAAATAATGTCTATAAAGCACTTAGCATAGTTTCTAGCATACAAGAATTGCCCAGTAAATATTAGGTGTTATTCCTCTTTCCCTTTGTAACTTTGGATAGCACATATTTGTAGTTGGTAGGCTAAATTTGGCTGATAAACAGGACTTTCCATATGTGAATTAGACACAAATATTTGCAATTAGGGGATTTCTACCTTCTCTTGAAAAACAAAGAGACCTAGCAACACCAAGCCAGAGACAATTTACAGTGGCTGTGTCTGGACATTGGCTGTTCCTTTAGCTGTGGGTTCTCCATTTAAAACAGTCCTCACTCAATCGGCTTCACCGATCTACACTTCTTGTTTGGCTCCCATAGGCATTTGGGTTTGTAGATTTCTGTTGTATGCCCTAATTAAGCCTCTCTATCCAGAGTTTTAGAAGAGCTAACAGACTATTCTTTCATGTTTTATTTTAGCTATTCTAGATCAATTAACAGTTGTCCATGGGCAGAGGCACAGCCCCCATCACAGCTCCCTCTTAACTTAGCAGAAGTGATAGAGGGAGTAGCTTGTCTTTATAACTTTTATGATTTAGGGGCATAATTTAGGATGAGTTCCAAGGGGCAGTATTATGAAAGTCTACTGGAATACTTTGCCAGGGAACCTAACCCAAGCTGAGATGTTGCCCAACAGAATCAAAGCAGGGTTTAAAGTCAGCTGCTGCCTTTATTACACATTTAAAACTTGGCAAAGGAAGTTCTTTGGGTTGAGACCACATGAAAGAAATCAAGGCAGGTGAAGGGTGGTTCAAGAGAACAGATGGACTTGGACATCTTAAACCATTGGAGTGATGCTACAACTTCCAAAGATACCTGCTTGGATGCTGTGAAAGTTATCACAATCTTTGTATTTTTTTTCTCTAGCTACGGGTGTCACACATGAAAAAAAATATGAGGCAAGAAAGGACTTTATACAAAGGTATTGAGGCCACATTTGTCAAACCCAGAATCCCACGCAGATTTGGGAACTATGTTTCAAGCTGAGTTTAAAACTTTCAACTCTCAAAAGTGCTACTTACCCCAAGTAAAAGGCAATTTTCCAGCTCAAAGAATGGCAGTTCTGCAAGGTTCAGGAAAAAAGGTCAGAAGACTCCTTGTACATCAATCAGCTCTTGGAAAACAACATGTCAATGAGTTAAGTGAACACGAATCAGGCACATATGGATTGAATTTCCCTTGAAATACTCCTGGGGTCCAAGTTTAAGGGGTGGAGTGAAGGAGGGGTGAAAATTCTTAGGAAAATCTGCAGACCCCAAATGCTTGAAAATACTTCCAAGATGTCGACTGGCTATGCTGCAAGTCCTGCTGGCCTGAATCAATTCTGAGCCCAGCTGACCTTTGCTTTCTGGAGATGAGAATGGATCTAAGGCCCATATAACAGTCAAGGACTTCCCTGCCCTTGATCTAAACTTCATTCCATGGCACGAAAATAGGGAGATCTGGTAGAGAATGGCTTTGAAAACACAAACCGTAAGAAATGTTCAAGGTTACCAGTTATTATTGCTAGTAGACTATGTTTTTAAGCAAGCAAATCAATCATTCTATGTTTTCTTCCTTCCTGGAATTATAAGAAAAGCAACTTGGAAATTATATAGATGTGGGGAAAAAAAGCAAATACAAGAATATTTCCCTAACATCATTCTGCATGGAAATGTGTGGCATAGTGAAAATATTCTTTGTAAACAGAGGTTCTTATAAAATCTTAAGAAAGAGATCAGTGCAACATTGTGGTCTATTCTAACCCAAAACACTAAACAATAAATGTAGTAAGAAAAAAACATTTAGATTTTGCATTCAGCATAGGATTCATAGATGTTGGGACTACTTAAACGTGATTTTAGGGTAAAATTGAAAGAATTCAGTATCAAGGACAACCTAGTTCAGTATATCCATATATGATCTAAAATTAGTTAGTACTGAATCCTTTCCCAAGAAAGCAACAGAGGATACTTAGAGTAGAATGGGATACATACATTTTAAGCTCTGTAAAAGGAAACCTGTTAAGAAACAATAAGATATATTTCATTTTTTGTTTTATAGGGTATTTTGTAGTTGAACTATAATTTAAGTGCAAGAAAAGTACAAAACTTCTTGGTGGCAGAGGAATTGTTATGGCATTTTTTCCCCTGTTCTTTTTCTTTCCCTTTTTTTTTTTTTTTAAGGCAGGAGGTAATCAGGGATAAATGTTAATGGGATTTTTTTAAAAAACAAAAGATGCACTGTCAAGAGAAAATTTTTTCACAATTGTCAAATTGTGTAGACAGTGTTCAAATGGATCATTCATTATTAGCAGCACCACCAAGTTGAAAACCTACTTTTTCTGGTCTGCAGCTGATTGATGTACATTACTCATATCAGGCTAATGGCACTTTATTTTCCAACAGTAGCAAGTAATGAGTGACCTTGAGTGCATATTGTTTCCCTGAAAGGGTTTGTTGCTCTGCTTCCTTCATAAGCAACCCAAGGAAACAGGCCTCTGTATTGGTGTTTTGCAGCAAACCTCATTTCTTTCATGGCTTTCTGTAAAAGAATTTGATACAGGGATAGAAGCTAACCTCAGTGAGTAAATGAAATATTGATCCATGCTACTCTGGCCTTGCCTTCACCTTGTCCCAGGGCGGTGAGTTACTGACTTTTCCGTTTTGGCTGTAATAGGAATTATTACAACAGGCCTGTGCAAGTAATTACTTGGCATGGTAAAAAAGGAGGGTCCATCATATATTTCTGTAGAGACGTTAGTTTCCATCAGCCCAGCAGTCTGCTTTTTTGGCTCTGTCTTTTCTACTCTTGATTCAATTCTTTTAACCATCATTAATCACACTCCTTGTCAGCAGAAGTTTATCAAAAGTATTAAGTGAGCAAGGTTGCCTGGCCTCCTTAAAAAAATCAGCCAACATGGGGCAGTAAATTTCGAAATATGGAAGGTTGGTTCCGTGATATATATGAGTGTCTCTTCAGCTAGAATGAGCCGTTTGTTTTAGTGATAGATATTGTAGTTTGAGCTGTGATAGAATCCTTCTCAAGTTTATATGTCGTGGGCTATCGTTTATGAGAGACCATGTGTTTCTAAATGGTGAAGGTCATGGCTGATGGCAAAAGTAAAAGCAGTGGTGATTCATTAAAAATAGTTAATAGGGCCTGCGGCTGACAGGGATAAATCGGAACATGTGGCTTGCCAACCCACCAGCACCTAAGATGACATTGCGTTTCTTCAGTCCCAACCTGCCACTTGCAATTGCCAGACAGCTGTGAGCCGAAAGACAGGCGGAAATAAGATCACTTACTTCTTGTTAACAGATTTGGAAAAAGTTTTTGGAAAGAGAGAGAACCCTCTTCTCTTCAGTTTGACCTGGCTGACATGTATTTTAAAGTTGTTACTGCTTTTTTGCTGATCATAAATATGTTTATTACTTAAAATTCAAATATTATAGAAACACACGATGTGAAAAAATGAAGAGTCTTTATTATGTCTGAAATGTTAATTTCCTTTTAAAAAATGACAAGACACAAAATATGACATAATGTTAAGATTTGATAAAGCTGAGAGGTGGTCTGTGAGTGTTTCTTATGGTGGTCTGTATTCTATTCCTGGCGATCTGAAATAGTTCACAACTAAATTTTTTTTCCATTTTCACATCTAAAAGGAAGCCCACCACTGAATCCCATCTCCCAGAAAGAATCACTTTTATCATGTTGTATATTTCTGTATACCCCTCTAGACTTTTTTTTCACTATACACACACACACACACACACACACACTCACACACACATATAGACATAAATAAACATTTGTGGCGTATATAGTAAAGAAAAATATGTTCAATATAATAATAATTAAATACACAAAATATATATTAAATATTAGATTATGCTATAATACCAGTTTGCAACATGCTTTAAAAAATTCCAAGATTTAAATATGAATATTTGATTAAATTCATGGACTCATTCATTCATTCAGAACATATAGCAACTGTCAACCAACCTATAGCAAAATATTCACATCCCTGGAGGGGAACATAGGGCCAGAGTTCTACTTCCAGCTTTCATTCAGAATTTATCTAATAAATGTTTCTGTTCCTGGGTCTTACTATAACAAATATCCTCTTTGAAAACTTTCTGGCTAAATTTCAAGACTCCTAAGAATGAGAATACTAAAAGGATTTTGCTGACTACAATTAATAGAGTTTGATGATCCATTTAAGACTTGTAGATCAACAAAGGAATGTATGGAAATTGATGCAGCCCTTAGGCAATTTCCAAATAAGCAAATATGGATTTTCTATATGTTATGTCTAATGAAGATGGTTTTAAAAACAATAGTGTTTGGGGATTTGATTTTTGTTTTGTTTTGTTTTGTTTTGTTTTTGGTGTGTTTTTTTCTCTCTCTTTCCAATTTGAGAAGTCAGTGAAGAATAACACAGTGGCTTGAAATAATACTGGGAGACAAACATCTTCACTTTTCACTTTGGATTGCCTCTTTTCCCTAGAAAACAAATTGGCTAATAGTTAGAGAGGGTTTGCTACCTCCGGATGGAAAAGGATAATAACCAAGCTGCATAGGAAAAACAGTTCCTGAATATAAGGAAATATATAAGTAGAAAAGAAAAGAAAAAAAAGTTGTTTTTGTTTGTTTGTTTGTCTCCTTGCAACCAGAGCCTTTGCCTTTGCCTGCAAAATCTGAGTTGGTAACTCCAGGCATCTCTCCCTGCATTTGCAGTCTGGACAACAACCCTGCCTGGAGAACATCAATCTCACAAGAAGAACTATCTCTTTCCATGATTTCAAAAGACACAAGTAATTCAACAGTACAAAGAGGTTTGAGTTTTGCAAACTGTGTCTTCAACTTAGCTTTGAGTTTTTTCATTTGTTGACAGTTTAGACTTTGGGGCCACCATTATCACAACAAAACTGCCTGGGCAATAGCAGTGCATTCCGTTGAGAAGTACTCGGCGAGAAGACAGAACAGCATTGCAAATTAACATGTTTACAGGGAAAAGCACTTAGCCTCAAATTAGCGAGGGAGGACAGGAGAAATGTGTTGTGCTTAATTCAAGGCCAAGTGACAATGGGCACAGAGGATGTTTCTGGTTACCATCATCTTGAAGAAGACATTCACAGTGGTTACAAATTGACTTTTTATGGAGAAACTAAGACTGTTTCTAACCTATTGCACCGATATTATATTTCGTTAATATTTTATGAAAGAAAGTCCTCCCATTAGAGGTGGCAAATTGCTTTATAATTATAGTACTTTACAGAACAGACTGAATGCTCCATTTTATGGCAAAAGCACAAAAATACAGCTGCCTTTTCTGTGTAACTCCTTTGCAGAGTCCTTGTGGTAAGTGACTACCCCTCCCATGATTGTTTTTCTTCATTTCAAATATTAGTTTAATTTGCACAGAAAGTCATGTTGCATGCTTGGTATGAGTTAATGAAATATTGATGCAGAAATTTCAATGAAGCAGGCCTGGAACACACTAGGGACCAGAGGTGAACAAAGATACCTCCTCACTCTTCTAAACTCTTGTCTGACTCCATGCCACTCTCATAGTGACTACCAGCCATTAAACATGATGGCTATTTAGTAATGATGACTATAATGAATTGGTAGGCAGAGCAGCATCAAATTTTCATCAGAGAGTATAGATTGAATGGGAATGGAGGCTGGGCTATTTTCCCTTCCTTCTTCCTTCTTCTTTCTCTTCTTTTGTCCTTGTTCTTCAATGAGAAGTAACAGATCTAAGTTCCTAGCAGACAAGGAACATGTTTTATTTATTTTGTATTCCAGAGTATATCACAATGTTGGCACTAAATAAATGTTTCCATGAAAAAAGTTTCCTTTGATTGAAATGTGCTATGTAGCAGAAGCTGTTAGTGCCCTGACATGCCGTGTTAGAACTCCTCACTACCGTGCACACCAGTGAAGTCTTACTGAGGCACCTGGTACTTACTGAAGGTGCTTTCCCTGACCACTACAGCAGGCTCCACTTGCACAGGAGGCCGTGGGAAATTAATGCCCAAAGAACAGCTCTCAACCAGTGATGAATGGAAATTGGTAGATAAATATCCCTCAGGCCAGACAACTCAAAGGTGTATTCAACAGACTTTTTCCAGAAGTCCCCAGTGGAACTGAACTCCAATTACCCACACAGGAATGAACAGTCCTGGTCTTCACTTTCTTTCCTTCCTTGTCTCACTTCCTCATGTCCCCATCAGCACTTCCAGGAATCACATCCCAAATTAACTACTTGCCCTCAAATCCTTATCTCAGGTTGGGCTTCTGGGGAATACAACCTAAGACATCTTCTGACACCAGGATAATCAATTGATAAGAATTGATGGAGAGTTTTCCATGTGCCTAACCTTGTGCTATGCACTATGGGACTATTAAGGCATTTAAAATATTTACATTTACATTGCTCAGAAATTTCTCATTTTGTTAATTTCTATTTCAATGGTTTTTGGGGTCCAGGTGGTATTTGGTTACATGGATAAGTTCTTTATAAATTACGTTGGAAGTTAAGACATACACATTTAAAACAATTATTGGTCCAGACAGCATTATACAGGGATATAATAAAGTCTAAAGTGTGTATTATAGATAATTGGAGACAAGGAAAGTGGACATGTACATGTACAGTTGGGACAAAAGTCATAAAAACAGTTGCTTGACTTGCTGATGCTCATGGGAGCTGAGGTGGATAACTCAAGGAGGATGGTACACTTAGCACACTGGATGGTAGGTCTCCAAGCCTACTACTCTTCATGCAATGATGGCTCAATAAATACTTTGAGAAATGAAAAATGAACAGGAAAATGAGTCAGTCATGAAAACTCAGATGAGCTACACTATGTATTCTATCAAATTTTTGAATTAAATAAATACATAAGTGTAATCATCTCTTATGTAGTGGGGTTTTAAGTATTTGACTTTCTACTTTTCATCTTTTCTCCTATTTCACCTACATCAACTTGGTTCTCTCCCCAAGAGATCTGCTATTTGGTAGCTGGGTGACCACAGGCAAGTTAATTAATCTCTTTAGTTTCAGGTTCCATACCTGTAGAATATTCAAAGGTTGACTGTGACTCTGGGACATGATTTATTTGGCTAGTCCCTCAACTTCCAAGGAAAAAAAAAGTCCCAACTTTCCACTATTGCTTTATCTCTGGCCCCCTCCTATATACTTTTAATACTAAGCTCCTGAAAATATTAGGTGTTTGCCGTTCCTGAATTAGATAACATATAATTTTTTTAACTTTAACAAAGCATTTTTAAACAAGCAAAATGTTTGGACCTAAGACTGTGTGGCTTTGAAGAAGTCATTTAATCTGAGGATCAATTTCCATTTTCCAAAAATGAGGCTATTGCTTTTTTACTATAGATAATTATGTAAAGCACTTGGTTCAATGAACGATCAAAAAAATTGTACTTTTTTATCAACTGAATTCAGATATAATTTACATATTATAAATGCATGCATTTTAAGGACACAGTTTGATGAGTTTTGGAAAATGTGTACACCCATATGACCACACCAATCAATGTATGGAACATCTCTGTCACCTTGAAAGGTTCTCTTGTACCTCCTTGCAGCCAATCTACCCCTTCACCCCCGGCTCCAAGTAAGCACTGATCTGCTTTCTGTCCCTCTACATTAGATGTGTCTCTTTCTAGAGTTTTATATAAATAGACTCATGTAGCATGTGCTCTTTTGTGTCTGGCTTGTGTTGCTGAGCGTTTTTGAGATTCATTCATGTTTGTGTGTGTGTCTGTGGTTTGTTTCTTTGTAATGAGTGGTAGGTCTTCTTTTACTAATCTAGCAAGAAAGTTATTTCTTTCTAGGGGCCTTTAGACATTACCGTATCTTGCAGTTATAACTGAGGAAGGATGAATCATAAATAGATTTAAATGATATGATACCTAAGATATTTTTTCTAAATAATTTAACAATAATAATAGCCAATATTTATTAAATACATGTTTTATAATGAGCATAAAACAGAAAATAAGAGGTGTATTAATTTTCCACTGCTGTGGCTTAAAAGAATAAGCATTTATTATATCAAAGTTTCCATGGGCCAGGAATTCAGAACTTGCTTTGGTTGATGATTCTGGCTCAAGATCTATTAGGAAGTTGCAGCGAAGATGATGGTTTGAGCCACCATCAACTGAAGGCTTACTAAAAGTTGGAGGATCAGCTTGGATGGCTCACTTATGTGACTAGCAAGTTGGTGCCAGATGTTGACAGGAGGTTTCTCCCCAGCACCTGTGAATGTGATCTTATTTGGAAACAAAGTGTTTGCAGACGTAATCAAGTTAAGATGAGGTCATACTGGATATGGTGGGCCTTAAGTCCAGTGGTTGGTGTTCTTATAAGAAGAGAGAGACTTGGAGACAGACACACAGGGAAGAGAGCCATGTGAACATAGAGGCAGAGACTACAGTCATGCATCTACCAACCAAAGAGTGTCAAGGATTGTAGGCGGCCATCGGCTACAAGCAGCAAGGAAGAACTCTTCCCTAGAGCCATTGGAGGAAGTATGGTCTTGCCAACACTTTTATTTTGCGCTTCTAGCTTCCAGAACTGTGATAAAATAAATTTCTGTTGTTTTGAGCCATTTGGTTTGTGGTAACTTGTTATGACAGCCCTTGGACACTGATACGGGGACTAAATAACGGCATGAATACCAGGAGGTGGGGATCACTGAGGACCACCTTGGAGGCTGGCTACCACAGGAGGGGGGAACCTACTTTGATGGAGTAATTAGGGAATGTGATAAAGTTTAAGCTGTTAGCTGAAAATGACGAAGAGCCAACTAGGTGAAGTAGGTGAAAAAGCATTTCAGGCAGATGAAACACCTTGTAAAGACTTTATGGCCAGGAAAAGTTTGGTGTATTTGAGGCATGGAAAGGAGGCCAAACTTGGCTATTCTCTATTGGGTAATGAAGAGATTCAAAATAGACTGGAATAATCAGCAGAGGCTGGATCCCTCCCCATTTGAGGGAGTTTGAATTTTATACAAAGGGCAGTGGGTGGTGTTTTAAGCAGGGGAGTGGCATGCTTTTGTTCGTGATTTTAGAAGATGACCCTGGCTGCCATGTGGACAATAGATTGAAGAGAAACAAGATTTAAATGAGAAGACCAACTAGGAGACTACTGCAATAGTCCAGGCAAGAGGTATTATTGCCTTAACAGAGGGAATTAAGATGAAAGGAAATAGATAAGACTATTAGAGATATATGTTGGAGCTCAAGTTATAGGGCTTAGTCATTATATGCGGCATATAGGCGTAAGAAAAGAGAAAGAATCAAGGATAATGCCCACTAAATGCAGAATATTCTTTCCCAAGTAATTGAAACTCCTACTAATTTAAATGAGCTTTACCTGTTGTGAAATCTTCATGCTTAGAACTCTTTGTCATTCCCTATTATAAAGGCTACGCTACTTAGCTTGGCACAGGGATGGCCTCAATAAGTCTTTTGCCTGAACAGCCAGCCTCATCTCTTCACCTACGTCTATCACACTGAGCTGCTCATTCTTCTGGGAACATGGCACGATGACAAAACACATCCCCTTCCCTCTACCTGGAATATCTTTCCAGCTTACCTCCATGAAGTCTTCCACATTGGCAAGGTGTTTCATCACTTCTCCTACTTTGTTCTCATAGCATCCTGCTGACCCCTTTTTTTCTTCTTATCTCACCATATGTTAGTGATCCATCCCACCATATGTTGTATATCTGTATGTCCCATTAACCATGGGCCTCCTGAGAGCCAAAAACTCATCTAATTCTTATTTCATATCTCTGTCTGCTCCTAGCATAATCATAAGCACATGGTAGAGACTCAATTAATGATTGTCAAGTGAATAACAGAGATAACAGAGGTGACTGGAAGTGTTTGACAGTTATTGGTAGATACATTATTTCTGATGAATATCAAGATATCATGATTTCTCTCTAAGTGAGAATCAAAGAATCCCAAAGGCCCACCAGAAAAGACAGTAATGTGATTCATACACTTATGAAATCATTCATTTGACAAATACTGAGCACCTATTATGTGTCATGGTTCCAAGTGTCAGGGACATAGCAGGAAATAGGGTGGACAGGCCTCAATTCTCATGGATATTACATTCTTTTGAGAGAAACAAATGATAATTAAATGTACAAAAAAGTGAATAAGGTAACTTCACATGGCTGTGACCACAATAAAACAGAATAACCTGATTGAGTCTGAGTGGGGGTCTCTGAAAGGTGCTTAGAGAAGAGATCTGTTAACCAGTAACATAACAACAGGAGAGAAAAGTTTCCAGGCAGGCACTCTAACTACAAGTCCCAGAGTTAGAAAGAAAGAAAGACAAAGAAAGAGAGAAAGAAAGAAAGAAAGAAAGAAAGAAAGAAAGAAAGAAAGAAAGAAAGAAAGAAAGAAAGAAAGAAAGAAAGAAAGGGGGAGGGAAGGAAGGAAGGAAGGAAGGAAAAAAGAAGCCTAGGCCGGGTGTGGTGACTCATGCCTGTGATCCCAGCACTTTGGGAGGCCAAGGCAGGTGGATCACCTGAAGTCAGGATTTCGAGACCAGCCTGGCCAACATGTGAAAACCTGTCCCTACTAAAAATACAAAAAAATTAACCAAACATAGTGGCAGGCGCCTATAATCCCAGTTACTTGGGAGGCTGAGACAAGAGAATCGCTTGAACCCAGGACGCGGAGGTTGCAGTGAGCTGAGATGGCACCATTGCACTCCAGCCTGGGCAACAGAGCGAGACTTCATCTCAAAAAAAAAAAAAAAAAAAAAAAGAAGAAGCAGCCTATGATATACCCTAAGCTCTACTTTCAAATGCCATGTCAGGTTTTATATTGTAAAAAAATCAAAGCAAACAAAATCATCAATACGTTTTTAAACAAGTTTAAAATTTCAGGGAAATCATACTTTACATACATATCTGTAACCTACTTGCCTTTATTAACTTCATATCTTTTATTGTCATTAAATTTGTTCTACAAAAATTTGTAATAGCTATATAGTATTTCTACACAGATGTAACATAGTTTAGGTAATCAAACCTCTATTTTTGTCCATTTATATCATTTTCAATTTCTCATAAGTAACAGGAAGGTAAACATCTTTAACTGTAAATACTTTGTAAATACATGATTTTTTGGCATGTGTGACAAATTCTTAGGAGAAAAACTGCTGAGTCAAATATTTTCATCCACATGTCCAATTTGTCCTGAGAAGTTTTGTAACCATTTGCTATCCCACCATGAGCAAGCAGAGGTTAGATGCCTGATTAGAATTAGCTTGTTTTGTATCATATGAACAAAAGGAGAATTGTGCAACTTATTCCCAAGAAAGGCCACCAACGTGGTTGGAACAGCCATCTGAAACCTTCAAGGACAACATTCCAGTAGCAGTTGTTTCTACAATCATCAGGACTGTAGGTGCAGCCCTTACCCATTTGAAGTAGTTAAAAATCATCCACACTATTCTCAGTGGGCAGAATGAGAGGATTTCCATCTACTGAAACACGACATGGCTGATTTCTGATTTAACTATCAATGGTCTTCAAGCATTTAACCTACAAAAAATCTAAGAGTTCCTAAGGTTTACCAAACTGATCACCAATTTCAATAGGAAATTGACAATTTATGAGAAAAATCACTGAGACTTCAGACTTCAAAGGAACAGCCATTGCTAAATCTACCAGCTTCTGCTTTTCAATGACTATCTCAACAAAACATTCAGGGCAGTCACTATTTCTGCCAGGAAAAAAAAAAAAGCAACACATAAATACATTGTATGACTGGGGAAAAGGTAATCTGAATGCATTGCTCCTGCAACTTTTAAAAATTAATAAGGCATTTAAATTGTCTCTTGTAATCATTGAAATTTACAACTGGAAGGGTTTTGAGATATGACCTTGACTTATGATTTCTTACCTTTGAAGAAACAGAGGCCCAATTTTGATGTAAAAATATTTTTGAGAGTCCCAACTTAATAATAAACTTTTTTAGTTTATTGTTTGAGAACATAATCATGACAATGAATCGATGAATCCAGAAATAATTTTTAAGTTTATTTTGATATCCCCAAAACAAACCTACACACCTGTAAAATAGGAACACATATATAAGCAAAACACATGATTTATTTAGTCAGTGGATCACTTGCAATGAACTCCAAGCACATTGCTTGCTCCTTCCCCACCTCAGGAGTTTGTCTACTACAGATTAGGAATTACTGAGCTTATAATATTAGCAGTGAGGCAACTAAAGTGCATGAAAGTCATGTGAATTATCCAAACCATAGAATTAGCAAAGGAGCTAAAACTGGAGCCAGAGCACCTGATTTTTCCTCTAAAGCTCTTTCCTGAGCTGGGTTGGGACTACAGCTAAACTAAGGGTGTCCAGTCTTTTGGCTTCCCTGGGCTACATTAGGAGAAGATTTGCCTTGTGCCACATATAAAATACACTAACACTAACAATAGCTGATAAGCTTAAAAAATTGCAAAAAAAAAAAAATCTCATAATGTTTCAAGAAAGTTTACAAATTTCTGTTGGGCCACATTCAAAGCTGTCCTGGGCTGCACGTGGCCTGCTGGCTATGGGTTGGACAAGCTTGAGCTAAATCATTTACCACTGTGATCTTGAAAGTCACCTCACCTTGCTAAGCCTCAATACCCTAATCCATGCAGTGAATAATTATATAATTCATGTAGGTGCTTCCTCTGAAAGCCCAGTTTCTGACCTAGAGCAGGTGCTCTGTACACATTAGCTATTTTCATTATTGTTATCTTGATTATTTTCATTTCCACAACATCTTTGCTTTAGACTTTATCACAAACAAATGAAAGTGCACCAAACCTTTACAATTTATCTGCCAGGGCTCTCTGCTTATCAATTCTTCAATTACCTAATGCAACCCCATGTCATTCAGGGCTTCAGAAATGCCTTCCCATTTTGATTGGAGGAGAAGTGGTTCCCGCTCTGTAACTTATCAACTAACCTTGCCTCTTGGGTATTTACATAAAGAATGGGAATTTATTTGAAAAGAAACTGTGGGAATAAATTGCCCTTAACTATTCTCCCACAACTATGTGCTATGAATTTGCATCATTCATTTCTATCTCTCTGCAGGCTGATACACAGTTTGTTTATAAAAAGTGAGATCTTGTGTGTCTTGACTAGTAAGATCATGAACTCTGCTGAAGAAATGCTATTATTTCTGCTATTAAATTGGTTTATTTAATGGATTTTTATTTACATGCATTGTTAAGCTAAAACAAACAAAGAAAACAAGAAAGCAACACCCCTGATTTCCCAACATGATAATTAGAGCATAGAGAAATTCAAAGATCCTCCTTTCCTCTCTCTTGTCTTTTTTGCTGTGTGGTTATTAGGCCTATAGCATAGTCAAGATGTTACTCTAAAGCAGACTTCATCAGGAAATAAGGAATTTGCTATATTTTGCAAAGGACTATCATAAGTATTTCAAATTGTTTTTCTATAGTGCACAAATGACAGCACATTTGATGCTTTTCTTGCCAGACCATACGTACATATCACAAATTATCACATACATCGGATATATGCTTGTCCGAGACAAAAATAGGAATGGGAAAGAGAAGTTTTTACTATTCCTTTGATGTAAATCCTAAACCAGACTGACATTAGTTATATTGGCTAAAAGCTTCCTGAATCTGCTGCAATAAAAAAATTGTTTGCTAACATAGGACTTGATGACCAACACAGTGATTGAGTCAAAAACTGAGTCAAGGCTGGGCACGGTGGCTCACACCTGTAATCCCAGCACTTTGGGAGGCTGAGGCAGGTGGATCACGAGGTCAGGAGTTCGAGACCAGCCTGGCCAAGATGGTGAAACCCCATTTCTACTAAAAATACAAAACAAAACAAAACAAAACAAAACAAATCAGCCTGCCACAGTGGCGGGCACCTGTAATCCCAGCTACTCGAGAGGCTGAGGCAGGAGAATCGCTTGAACCTAGGAGGTGGAGGTTGCTGTAAGCCGAGATCATGCCACTGCATTTTAGCCTTATCGTGGGCAACAGAGCAAGACTCCATCTCAAAAAAGAAAAAAACAAAAACAAGCAAAAAAGAAAAAAAAAACTGAGTCAAGTGAGGAAGAAAAAGAAAAGAGAATGTGAGTTGGGGGATAAAATGTCCTTGCTGCACATTTATAAGACAAAGTCAGAGTCTTGGCTCAAACACTGATAACTTGATTTTGGACAAATCACCTAACCTCTTTAAGCAGTTTTCCTCATTTTATAAAGTGGAAATAATAATAATCTTAGCCAGTTTATCTATCAGGGTTGTGATGAGAATCAAACCAGTTGATGATTATAAAAAGATTTTGTAAATTGTTAAATGTTTACAAAATACATGAGTAAAGTTATAGCTTTTTCAGTCTCTCTTGATTTGTTTTCACATACCATGGAAGAAATTAGGTAAGACATAAAAGTAGACTCAGCTTTAGTTCTTTATTTTCACACTTAGTGAAGTGCCTATCATCTGAGAGAGCAAACAATGCTTTTATTCTTGCATCATAAAAAAAACAAAAGTGAGATCTCTCCTTGAACATTGTGATCTAATCCTGCTTTGTTGTATTTCACTTCCTGTAGAGTGGACAGTCTTATCTGACTATCAAACGTTAGGGTCACAATGTTGAAATTCCATATTCACTTTTATCTCCCACCTCTTTAACAATCTGCTTGATGCAGTCAGTATCAAGACTGCCTTATCTGCCCTCTAAAATATTTTTCTGTTAATCACCAGGTAATTCAATTGAGACAGTGATTGTGTCTTAAAAATAACTGAATGTATACAGTTTCCTTTTTGATGTACTAATTCCCTAGTGGCAAATTTTATCTTTTTGTATATATCTCTCTGTGACCTTTTAGAAATTACCAGCAGCTTTAAAAACATCATTTTAACATATTTTGAACATAAATCATCTAAACCAACACAATAATAAAATATGTATTATTCCCTTATTTTAAACTTAAAAAAAGTTTTCCACACATATGAATAAGATATAGTAAGGAATGGTTCTTTTTAAAAAGTTGGGGGGTTTGAAAACAGGAATATTATTTGTTCTTAATAGGCAAATCTGTATTTTTTCCTATTCACTACTATCATCAATTATGTTTAATTTAAAGCTCTGGTTAATATCCAGGGCCCACTTGTCCCTGGGGGAAAGTTATATTCTGAAGATTGTTTTAGAAAGATTCTAGTGCCTATGTTCTCACCGCTGAGCAAAAGGGAAGATTGAAGAGTGAAGTTTTGCAGATGGGTTCCCTAAGAAAGCAAAGACACATGTGTGTTTTCTTAGTGACGCTCATATACTTTTAGTTCACCTTGTGACACCTGTGGCTGCTCTATATCAGACAGCATGTGTCTGGTGGCAGCACCCAAATGTTAAAATCCAGCATGCAAAGCCAAAATCATCAACATGTGATTTACCAGTGAATCAGCCTGAATTTGCTCCCTTCAAGAAGAATGGTGCCTGTATGTAAAAATCACAAAGCATGCACCGTTGGTGGCACTTGGTGGCTTATTCATTATTCTGTTTGGTAGATTGGAGAGGCAGAAGAATAAAAAGAGTTATTGTTCTCATTTCCATGTGATTTGACTCAGGCATGTTTAAAGAGTAGCTCTTGTACCAGGGAAATGAAGATTTGATCCTGCACTGCTCTTAAGGTAAATATTTTTACTTAATTTGATCTAAATGAACATTGGACTCTACCCTTATTTTTTTCTCCTGGTATTTTCTCTTCTCATTAAAATCTCTGACGCTGCTTTGTCACAGTTTCCACTGACAACAGGGTCTCATGCTCATTATATGCTGGCTCTGAGTTTTGGGACAAAGGTCACTTAAAGAAGAGAAAATCATGTTAAAGAAACCTTGGAGAGAAAATTTGAATATGGCAACAACTATAAATCTGTTGTAAATATAATGAGTTTTGACTACTTTTTCTCTAGAGAAAAACTCAAGCCATCAAAGAAAATTTCTTAAGCAGTAAACTTTCATTCTACAAAATATTGTCTTTTAACTTCTTACTGATGTACCTTCTTTTGGAAATGTAAGCGCTTAATGACATATTGACTCTTGCTGAAGCCACAAGCCAATTACTCATCCTTCCAAATAGATTTTTTTTCATGGAGTGATGGAGATGGGAATATGTAGAAGAAGATAGAAATAAAATTAAAAATTCATTGGGAAAACAGAATAAGAACCATTTAAACATGAACTCAATTGTAAGTGACAAGGTATAAAAAACGAGGTGTTTTATAGAATCAAATATAAAAACTTGACTAGAATAATAGGAAAGATGTGTTAGTAAAACCATGGCAATATGATAACACCATTGTTATTTATTGAACACTTTCTATGTGTTAGGCATGTGCTAAATATAGTAGCTAAATATAGTATTTATCTCATTATGGGTGTACCCAGAGATAAGCCCATTTGGGATGTATAATATCTCAACTTCTGGGTCCATTTCATTTAATATCCTTGCTCTAGTATGTGAAGTATGTATGTTATTTGCATTGACAAAGACTGACCTGAATGCTGCATAGCTCACAAAGTGCTGAGGGATGGAAGGGGAGCTACCATCACATCTGTACTCTTCTAAATTTGGATCACATGAAGTTCTCCTTCCAGAAAGCTCTGGTTTAGTATCCCAGGCAATTCCATAAATCCATAACATAATTTGGTTCATGATTTCTTTTTGTACAGCTATGCCTTTGTTTATTTTTTATGCATTAAATGTGAATTACTTAAACATTACTATGTGTGTTTTGTATGAGTGCAATCTTATGAATATAGTGTACAACGGCTATGAAAGAATTTAACTAGAAAAAATGGCAAAATTTTAAAACAATTGATGAAAGTAATAACTTGTTAGTTGTATAATGCTAATCAATATTAACTATTGAAGAAATTATGTCCATTATTATGGGTTTTGGTGTTCTTTTGGGATAAGTCAATGTTAGCATTCAGAATACATAAAATTTAATTTTTTGAAATTTTTAGGGATTCCACTTATTTCTCATAATGAATTCCTTAAGGTATTTTCAGGCACAAACTCTAAGTATAATTATTCTCATTTTACTATATAAGAAACTAATATCAACAAGTTTAATGATCTGCCCAAGGACATACATATGATGAAGTTGGAGTATAAACTGTCTGACTGTTATAGCTTGTTATCAATGTTGAAACTAATGTTATCAAACCCTGTTACTATAGGACAATGCTTGCCTAACAAAGAACTAGCTCACCAAATGAGAATTTATATGCTTCTTCTAATAGCTATGCCATTGTTTAGAATATTTTTTGAAGTTATCTTTAAGTCATGTCCTTGGAGACTATTTATGGAGCTCACAAAATAATGTTTCAGTACTTTGCAGTCATCTTTGAACACAACTTGACCATCTATCTTATTGATAAGAGCTTTTCCTGACTGCAACTTGAAAAACTTCTAAAAAGACCAAGATGTTGGCACCATTGCTACTTTTTTAAAAAAGTGAGATACAGTCCCTAGGTGCTGAAAGTGGAGTCTCTAAACTGGCTTGGAAAATGATAATATTATTGCTTCCCAACTAATTTTGTACATCTGTTAAAATATAGTTTTGACAATCATAGACTCAAAGATCTTAGCATTTAGAGGATTTTGAGAGACTCTGAGATTCAGAAAAGATAACATAGGCTCCTGTAATCTCAGCACTTTGGGAGGCTAAGGAGGGTGGATCGCCTGAGCTCAGGAGTTCAAGACCAGCCTGGCCAACATGGCTAAGCCCCAACTCTACCAAAAATACAAAAAATTAGCCAGGCGTGGTTGTGTGCACCTGTGGTCCCAGCTACTTGGAAGGCTGAGGTGGGAGGATTGCTTGAGCCCAGGAGGTCGAGACTGCTGTGAGCCAAGATTGTGCCACTGCACTGCAGCCTGGGTGACAGAGGAAGACCCTGTCAAAAAAAAAAAAAAAAAAAATAGGGAAATTAGGAGATTTTTGTTTTGCCAAAAAAAAAAAAAAAAGTTTCTGAAGGGTAAATTCAATAGGGGACAGTGGAATAATATATTCAAAGTACTAAAGGAAAATAGCTATGAACCTAGAACTCTATGCCCAGTTTAATTATCATTTAAGTAGAATTTAAGACCCTTCTTTTTGGCAAGATCAAAGTGGCAGGTAGAGGGTCAGAAGTTGAGGACAGCAACATTCTAGTAGAAAATGCTTGTTGAAGGAAAAGATTTCTAAGAGAGCTTTCCTGAGACCATGGCAGTCACAAATACCTTGTCATTTGCAATGAGTTCTTTAGAAACACTTTTACAACACAGTACTCACAGATTTCTACTTACAAAATCAAGCAACAAGAATCCCATAAAAAGATGAGCTCACAATAAAATTTTTTTAATGAAATGAAAGTATCATAGAGCCAGTAAATGCAGCAAACAAAAGAAGTAGCACTTCTGAAAAATGAACAGATAAATTCACAAAAACTCCAATATAATTACATTTTCATTGAAATTAAAAACTCTTAGAATATTTGCAAAAGGGTACATACAAACACAACAGTTTACTTCTGAGAAGGGAAACCAAGGCAAAGGGGACAGGAGTAGGGCGGAAACTTACATTATGCACACACTGTCTTTTAATAAAATGTTCGGATTTTTACAGCTTACACTTTTAAAAATACACTTAAAAAAGCAGTCTGGTACTATGATATTATCATTGGATAAAATAGACTTTCAGGAAGAAAATGAAGATGATCTTTTTTGATCATTAAATTCTTTTTAACAATAGAGATAGAACCATCTTGTTTCTGAGTGCTCTAAAAATACAGTTTCAACATACATAAAGAAAGAACTAGACAAATACAGTATCATAATAAAGATGTTTGAATTATAACCTCTAGAAATTGGTAAGTGGAGTGAACAAAAATCAATTAGGCATATAGAAAATGCAAACAACACAACCAACAACTTTGATCTGATTGACATATGTAATCCTGTACTCAACGGAGAATATGTTTTCTTCTTGAGACCACTCATATATACAAAAATTGAGTAGTATCCTTGGCAAAGGAATCTCAACAGATACTGAAGAATCATTATCCTGTAGTCCACACTGTATGATGCAAAAACATCAACAATCAACTATAAAAAGAAGGAAGAATCCCAAATAGTTGGAAACGCAAAGTCCTTCTTGTAAATAATTCATGGGTTAACATAGAAATCTTAAGGGAATTTGTGACATGCTTGGAACTGAATGACAGTGAAATCACTACATATCTAAACTGTCAGAATGCAACTAGAAAAGGACTTAAAGGGAATATTGTAGTCTTAAATGCACACATTTTAAAACAGGAAATATTGAAAATGAGTAAAGCAATCAGCTCAAGGAGGTAGATGAAAACAGTATTGCACACTTGAAGTAAATGGAAAGAAACAGTAAGTGCAGAAAATAATAACATAGAAAACAAAAAAAGAAGAGAAGAAATGAAAGTTAAAAGCTGAGTCTTTGTAAAGACTAATGCAATATATAAACTGACAAGATTGATCATGGGGAAAAGAAACAGTACATAGACAAACAATATTAGGAATGAAAAAAGAGGATAACTTTAGATGCATTGAAGATGGTAAGACCATAAGAAAATATGAGCAACTCTATTCCAGTACTATTGCAATCCTACATAAAGCAGATAATTTACTTTAAAAAAACCGTGAGTTATTACCAAAGTTAAATCAAGAAGAAACAGATTATTGTAATGTACATCTAATAAGTGAAGAACCTAAATTAACAATGAGAACTTTATTCACCAAAAGAAAGTATCAGACCCAGACAGGTGTCTTTAATATTGACACATAAGCTTTATACGAATTATTCCAGAAATTAGACTGAGAAGAAAAGCTGCCCATCCACTGTTATGAGTCTATCAAAACTAGACAAAAAAGCATTTAATGGGAAGATTATGGACCTCGCTCACCAATGAATACAGGTGCAAAAAACTTAAATAATATATTAGCAGAATAAATACAATATTGTATTTAAAATACGTGGTGACCAAGTAGTATCTATTTCAACAATATAAAAACATGGTTATCATGGAAATGTTGTCAGAAAGATGTCCAAGTTCAAGCAACAGGAAACTTGTTTAAAATGGCTTGCACAAGTAGGCATTTATTTTACTCACATAAAAAGAAATCTGGAGGTAGTCAGTGGCCGGTGTTGGTTCAGTGGCTCACCAGTATCAGGAGTGATGATTCTTTACTCTTTTACCCATGCTTATACAGGGACTGCTGGCAGCTCTGACGTTAGACAAAGGTTAGAAAAAGGAAAAAGGAGGATGGGTGAAGGGTTCCATCTGCCATGTTTTTCTCTTTTATTTTTCCTGGAGTCTTCCTGGCAGAATTCCACTTAACAGATCATCGGCCAGACTGGCCAGAATGCCACCTGTAGCTGAAAGGGAGGTTGTAAAAGCAGTGAAAATATAATTATAATTAGCTTCCACCACTGATGCCCTGAACAAAATCAACATTCTGTTAGCAAGAGAAATGGGGAAGAATAACTATTTTATAGTCAACAAGTAGTGTCTGCCTTAAAAACCTAGCAGAGAAATTCACTATGTTAACAGATTAAAAGAGAAAATTGATATGATCATCTCATTAGATGCAAAAAAAAAGCATTTAGTAAAACAATAACTACTAACAAACTAGAAATTTCAGGAAATTTTGTCAACACAATAGAGAGTATATGTGAAAAACTTCTGGCAAACAATACTTAGTGCTGAAACTTTAGAAATATTATCTTTAAAGTGAGAAACAAAAGGAGGATACCATTATATCTGATAAACACACTAAAATATAGTTACATATTATATATATGTACTTGTATACATATATGATATACAAATATAGACAAATAAATTATAGCATATTCATTCATTTAGTGATATGCTATCGATCAATTAAAATGTTCAATGAATGCACTAGATCTTTACCTATCAACACTGATATATGTCAAACATATATCAAAATACTGAGTAGCCAAAGGATATATACCGTATATTGCCACTGAGGTAAATTTGAAAACCTTGAAACTACTACTATATATTATTTATTAACACCTGAATTTGTAATAAACATAGAAGTCATACCACCACTTCATCTAGAAAAAGAAGGAAGGAAAGAAGATAGATGAGGGATACAAGAAGGCGTCTACTGTTTAGAAATTCTTATCTTAAAAAAAAAGAGACTAAAGCAAATATATCAAAATGTCAGAATGTGTCCAATCTGATTATGGGTACATGATTCTGTTTTGTGTTCTTTTTTGCACACTCTAAAATGTTTTACCTATTTCATAAGGGTAAAAACCTCAAGAATATCTTTTGTCTCTGATGTCCCCAGTCTGTGACAAGTTCTAGAACCCCAAGAATTTTCCAGTGGTTTGTCTAATGTCCCACATGAGGGAGCCAGACCCTAAAGCTGCAAGTGTGCTGACCTCAATCATTCTGTAGGTTTCCTGAGCTCTTTGGTTCTCACCTCCCACCCTGGACTAGCACCTGCTGAGGTCTCTAAACCAAAAGCCTGTTGGTCCTGATCCTTGCTGCTTTTATGGAGCCCTGCAATAGTTTTCCTAGGTGGGAGGAAACAGGCATCCCTCAGTTTCACTCCTAGATGAGCAACTTTTAGCCAAAACTCATTGTTTCAGGCCCCAAGTATGATGGCCCTGTTCTATGTAACATATAGGTCTACCCTTCTCCTTTCCTGCCATGCTGGAACAGCTTCAATAGCAATGCAATGTGCCTGAAATCAGCCATACCCTTTCATCTGCCATGACCCCAAGATCCCTGAAATGACCCTGTTCTAACTGCGGGCAAGTGAGTACTGGTTCTTCTCTACTTTTAGGTGTTCCTTGAGGCTGTGGCTTCCCACCTCTGTTATTATCACTGCTAGTTCTCATCAGGGAAGTGAGGGGTGGGTCAGGGGAACGGTAGGAGAGACTAGAGATTCTGTGGAATTATTTGCACCTGACAGGCCTGGTTACATAATTTGTGGGGCCCCATGCAAAATTAAAATGTGGGGTTTTTTGTTTACGAACCAATTGTGGAGCCCTGTGTGACTGCATGGGTCACACATCTATGAAGCTGGCTCTGGCACCTAGCCTACTTCCTCAGCTGTGGTAAGTTCTCTTGCCTCCTCAAAAATAGTCCCTCTAACCTACCTTTGCCTACCAGCCAGATACCTCAAAGGATAAAATCTCTCCATCCTCATTCACAAGGACCACTTCATGAGCAGTGAATGATTGGCTGTACAAATACCCATGATCTTTGGTTTCCATGGTTAATAATAGGAAACGAAGAAGGAAAATAGTCTAAAGCTGATGTATTTCCCAAGGTCTAGGCTAGCTATCATACGTTGAGCATTTACTATGCACCAGAAACTGAACTAAGAACTTCATAAACATTATCTCATTTAATTCTTACAGAACCTTTGTATATAGATATTATTATATTCTAATTTTAAAGATAAAGAAACAAAGATTACAGAACTGTATGTTTTTTTTAGCACAGTTTTGTTTTACCTGAATTCCTATCTCTCATTCCCTTTTCTAGACAAGAAAAGAATCTGAGTGGTCCATTGACTCAGGATATGATTGGTTAACGTTGAACAATATTGATTAAAGACCCACTGTTCAGAGGACTAGATACTATGAGAAGAGCCACAAGACTTAAATTTCTCATGAAGTTTGTACATGCCCTGAGGACATGGCACTTATAAGTATACATGTCAATACATTGTGTGGTGGGCATTAGGACTGTTCACAGATATTCTCTTTTTTTTCTGGCACATGATAGGACTGTACTGTACCACCTACTTATGACCACGTGACTTGCTTTTTTCAATAGAATGTGAATCAGAAGTGATGTGTGTTATTTAATAGAAGAAGCATTAAGACTCTATTTCTCTGCTATATATCTTTCCCTCTCCCATGGAGATCAATAGCACTACGGATTGTGACTGCTCTGTCATCTGGGTCTCCAAAGTGAGAATAACAACAATGTAGAGCAGAGCTCCTAGATGACCTGCGGCAGACATCTAGTATTGTGAAATAATCCTTTGTTGTTTGAAGACTTTGAGGATTTGGGTATTGCTTGTTATTACAGCATAACCTAATCTATCCTGATTCATATGAAAGGAAGCAGTGCTAAGGGGAAGCAGTCCTATCATATCATTTATTGCATTAGAAAATGAAATAGTTGCAGATAGCCTGACCAGAAACACAAAATCAACTGTCCATAATTGACTTATCTTTCAACTTCCAACCAAAATATGATAACAATAGTAAAACACATATCCAGTGTTTACTATAGGCCACTGTTCAAAATGTTTCATGAATATTTACTCATTTAGTCCTCATGACAACCCTGTAAATAAGGTATTTTTATCTTCCTTTTATAGAGAAGGAAACTAAGCACAGAGAGATTAAATTGCCCAAGATCATACAGCTAATAAGCAAGGGGAGCTGGAATTTGAACTTCAGGAGTCTGATTCCCAAATGCATACCTTTTTTTTTTTTTTTTTTAATTATACTTTAAGTTTTAGGGTACATGTGCACATTGTGCAGGTTAGTTACATATGTATACATGTGCCATGCTGGTGCGCTGCACCCACTAACTCGTCATCTAGCATTAGTTATATCTCCCAATGCTATCCCTCCCCCAGCCCACCACAGTCCCCAGAGTGTGATATTCCCCTTCCTGTGTCCATGTGATCTCATTGTTCAATTCCCACCTATGAGTGACAGCCATCCCATTACTGGGTATATACCCAAATGACTATAAATCATGCTGCTATAAAGACACATGCACACGTATGTTTATTGCGGCATTATTCACAATAGCAAAGACTTGGAACCAACCCAAATGTCCAACAATGATAGACTGGATTAAGAAAATGTGGCACATATACACCTTGGAATACTATGCAGCCATAAAAAATGATGAGTTCATGTCCTTTGTAGGGACATGGATGAAATTGGAAACCATCATTCTCAGTAAACTATCGCAAGAACAAAAAACCAAATGCATACCTTTGACTACAAAGTTCTACTTCCTCTGTGTAACTCAAAACTTAAATTCCGGGAGCACAAAAGCTGCTTCAGAGTTGTAGAGAATATAGATTGCTCACCTCCTCCTCATAAAAGTCATCCCTCTCCTCCCTGTCCCTTTGCATCCAGAAATAGTACTCTGATTCCTTTGAGTAATTCCCTCTCTTCCACTTTCAGCCAACATGGCTTGGATGGGGTTGACACAAGTCCTGCTCTAAGGATACATCTGGATTGCCTTAAACCAGCCAGCCTGTTTTCTCTCTTGGATTGGTTTGGGGATTAGAGTCAGTGTGAAGAGGGGTTAGCTGGTGTTTCTAGGGAAAGGAAGGTTTCTTTCTCTACTATTGTAATTGGCAGAGTATGAGTGTGAAGCCTGCATCTGTAGCCACCTTAAAGCTCTGAGGGACATGATAGAAATTCACAGTGCTTGAAATGGAACCAACCCACAGGAAGCAAAGCCAAGAGCCAGATGCTACTGTCACTGTTTGAAGCCTGAATCAAGCCACACCTGAAGGCAGCTGTACCTGTGTACTTTTGAGTTTTATGAGCCAATTAATTTCTCTTTTTACCTTAATCCATTTTGAGTTGGTTTTCCTGTCACTTACAGCAAAAAAAAAAAAAAAAAATCTGAACCTATGGAAAAGTAAACAAAATGAACAAGAGCAACAGTAAAACACACAAAAATCTATGAGAGATATCAACTATTCATTTCTGCTTAAGGGGTGAAGATCAATCTGAATTATCAAAATGACTGAATCCAACATTATTAAACAGCAAGACAAATAATAAAACAGCAACTCCATTTCATCAGCTTTGGGAAATCTCTAAAAATGTATTCAATTGCAAAGGGAGGCACCCTGTAGATCTTAAATAGCTTGCTATACTTTTTTTTAAAAAGCAAATGGCTAAGAATTATTTCTAACTGTTCACCTTTAGTCATTGTTGGAATACAAAAAACACTGTTCAAGCACTGTTTTAAAATTTGATGGGTTTACTTCTTAGGATGGCTAAGATGCATTCTGTTACATCATTAGGCCTTCTTTGTAAAAAAAAATAATAATTCTAGAGACCCTTTCATGGCAGAAATTATTATTTGTTGGTCAAATGACCCAAAGTGTGTATGAATTTAATGAAGTCTTTAAGTAATTTTTAATTTTATCTATCACAATAGCATTCATGTACATTTGGAAATTAGTCACATAAGGATGTACTGGCTCAGTTCACAGTTATGCGTACCCTACATATGGATCCTCAGGGCATTAAATAACTGTAATATTCCCTCCCCAGCTGATGCTGAAGCCCAGTTTCTTTCTAAGCTTTCCAATTATTGCAGTTGCTGATTTGGTATGATCTACAACAGGAGTTGGAAAATATTTTCTCTACAGTCCCACATAGTAAATAGCTTATGCTTCATGGGTCATGTTGCAACCACTCAACTCCATTGTTACAGCCTGAAAGCAACCATAGGCAACACATGAACAAGCAAGCATGGCTGTTCTCCAAAGAATGCTTATTTCCAAAAACAGGTGGCTTGCCAGGTTTGGCTCAGAGGCCATGGTCTGTCTACACCTTATCTAAAATAACAACATTGTACTATTTTAGATGTGTTGAGAAATTTCCTCAAACCTTGAGATTCTTGATCCCTAAGTTGGAGTGGTTTTATGTGGCCAGACCATCTGACTTGGGGAAGAAAGCAAATATCTTGAATCGTACATCTTATGTCTTCCAGTTAGTGTTAACTATGATTACTAATCATTGTCAAATGAAGAGAGTATAAAAATAACAATTTAACATGTGCCAGAACTGTGCTGTCGGCTTTATTTATACGACATCCTTGAGTACTTACAACACCACCAGAAAAGATGAATATGTAGAGATAGAAAACCCTCATGGGAAAAAGAAAATTTATAGGTGTGAGACAATGAGTGCAATGGAAAGAACGTGAATTTTGGACAGATAAGACTTGATTTCAAGTCCTGGCTTCACTCCTCCATTCCATGTGACCTTGGCCAGATTTTATACCTCTCTTGAGTTTCTTCATTCATAATTGAAAATATAAAACTATATGAGAAAATTATGTTGTAATTGTAATTTATAATATTACCTATCTTTTAGAGACATGGTAAGGGTTTTTGAAGTGAGCAAAAAAATCATGTAGCACTGGAACATGGTAAGCACTCATTAAACCTGAGCCATTCCATGTGCTACACATAATGATAAAGTGACTTGCTGAAGGTCACATAGTAGTATGGGTGGAATTAGGATTGGCACTCCACCCCGACTGACTTCAAAGCTTGTGAACTTGCTACTGCATTGCACCGCCTCCCAGCTATAAATCTGAAGTGGTGTTATTCAACTCATGCATGGAAATTGCTCAGTGTATTAAAATATGAAATCTCCAAAGCCAGTCACATGAGGTGAGTCATCTCTGTTGGGCCATGGAAGCTGGGTGCATGTTTCTGGAAGTAAACATGATGTATCCAGCATATCTTGTGGCTGACGCTGCCATGTAATACTCGATTTGTCTTTCCTCTGCACGCAGACACTATGGGAAATACTCGTAACTTCTAAGTCTAGTTCAGATTCTCTTGGCTGCCGAATTCCGAAACAGTCATAAAATGTGATTTGCACTCCTAGACACTCAGGAATCTCTCCGTTACCTCAGAGAATCTGGCCACAAACAGGACTCAGAGTGGAAATTGCCCAACCTGTCTGCTATCACTCTCTTGAAAGAGACAGATCCGATCAGCATCTCTCAACTGTGACTCATGAGGTATTTTTGGCTATGTCAAGAACATTCTCAAACAAGGTACGTTTAATGTATACATTTTAGAGTTGGAAATGAATGGAGAGAACATCTAGATCTACACCCTCATTTTTCAAATGTGAAAATCAAGGCTCAGGGAAGTTAAATAACAAATCCAACACTTCTAGATTCCAGTCCCTGATCATTTCCCCACCCTAAATATAATCTGGGGTGGGGAGAGGGAGAGAGACACTTAAACCAGGGTTACGAGATTTAGCAAATAAAACTACAGGAAGCCCAGTTAAATTTGAATTTCAGTAAAATAACAAATACTTTAAAAATATAAACATGTCCCATGCAATAGTTGGGACAATGTTTGCAACATATTTATACTAAATAATTATTCTTTATCTGAAATTCAAATTTAACTGGGCATCCTGTATTTCACCTGGCACCTAGTCCAATCAAATAAGCAATGCCAAATTTCTACCTTCTGAAAAATATTTGAAAGTGTCAAGTTAGAATGTGGCTTAAGTGGAAGGATAGAAAAAAAAAAAAAAAAAGAAAGTAAAGAAAAACCCTGAGTAGACAGGAAGAACTCAGGTGAAAATAATCAATGACTAGAAATGAAGTTAATGAAACCCAAGAAGAATAAGGAAGAAAGAAGAAAAGGAGGAAGGCAGAAAAAAACAGACCCCCTAGAAGGTGATGCTCTCTCCTTCATCTGAATCAGCTTGACAAAATAATGTTCAACCTACTGTCTTTTTTTGCGTCCCCCATTCGCCACTTGTCCTTCCTGCTCCAGTGTTACTTTCCCTGCTATATACAACTACCTTCCTTCTTCTCTGCTAAAATTGTATTATATTTAAGTTGTAAATTTTAAGTCAAAGCCATACATTTAGATAATTTAAAACTTAAAGAGTACTGAAAAGCTTAAAAAGAAAAGCTCTAGTCCTTTTCCCCACCTCTAGGTTCTTTTGAGGAACCTAAATTAGGGTAGCCAGATTTGGCAAATAAAGATACAAGATGCTCAGTTAAATTTGAATTGCAGGTAAACAATAAATACCTTTAAATATAAACATGTTCCATGCAATAGTTGGGACAATGTTTACAATGTACTTATACTAAATAATGATTCTTTATCTGAAATTCAAATTTAAGTAGGTATCCTGCATTTTATCTGTCAAACCTACCCTAAATCAAATAAGCCATACTAAGATTTCTGTCTTCCAAAAATATTTGAAAAACTACTTTTAAACTTCGTATCTATTTCAAAGGTGACCAGCAGTTCCCTTTTCCCCAGAACTGAAGTGTTTCCTGAGATGGGGGACTGTTGGTGGTAAAACCAAGACAGTCTTAAATAAACATGTATTATTCGTTGGTCACCTCATTTCTTATGTTAAAGATATTTCCATCTCACTAAACAATAAACCTTATTTTTGCTTATCAGTTTGAGACATTATCGTTAATTTCCTACTTTGAGAAGTGAGTATCTGTTTTGGTTATTTTTAAACGGTTGGTACAAAACCGTTTCCACATAGCACAAGTTCACCAATTTGGCCTAAAAGCCTTCAGAGAGTAGCTTCAGAGAGAATGTGTTTTCTCTAATCAGAGAAAACAAGAATTATGTTGTGTGAGTGTCAAGTTGCCATTTTATTGTCCCACTGAAATGCTTTCCCCCACCTAGGAATCCTTTTAAATTTTCTTAACTTTAATTGCCTTTTTCCCCCCACAAAGAAGTCAATTTAAATTAAACAGAATCCATCACTGTGATAATTTTTTAATGAGTAAAGATAATGTACTCTACAGAAATTGAAATAAGGTGTTCCCAGGATCATTTGCGAAGTCTCACAAAGTCCTCCTAAGAGTCAGCTGAAATTAATGAATCTCAGTCTCAGGACCGTCAATGCCATGTAACTGAGGGCTAGGTTCAATGGAAAAAAACCACACACAATAATAATAGTTACACTTTCCAATTTGAGCATTTAGCTCCTTTCGTTCCAAGATCCTGAGGAATTTTATAAACATTAATTAAGCTCACAGGTGTGATTTATTAGATTAACTCACTGATAGACATCAAGGACTTTTTAATAAAGCTGGATTAAAAAGAGGAATAAATTAACATCCCAGGAAGATTTCCATGCTGGGGTGGAGCCCCCAGTATTGGAGGGAAGGTCAAGAAAAGAGATGTGCTCCTTAGCTCAAATTTCTTGAACTAACTCTGGTCTCAATACATAGTGACGACAGTTTGATGCGTCCTAATCTCCATTGAAAAATACCCCCTCCACAGCTTATTTGAGCTTCTCTTTATTGTTTCATCCTCATTCTTCCACTGGGTTTCAAAGACAAACAATGGCTTGTGAAACAGGTGACCTTCAGTTCAACAAGAGAAGTTTCTATGCTTTGTGGAAATCTGAACACATGTTTGGTGATGCTTTTAGGGTAGAAGAGGTAGTCGTGGTACTGATCCAAAAACTAGGTTTTATTTTATAGGTTACTCAAGCCCTTCTTGGGTGGAGGGTAGGGTAGGGAAAAGATTTTTGGTCCTGTATTGTGGGCAATATGTTGTCCTGATAGATTCCTTTGTCTTAAGAAGGCAAACGGCTGCAAATTAAAATAAATTCTCAATAATAGTTTTCAATAATAGATTGAGTTTACGGAGATACAAAGAGAATTTCCATTATCCACCCTGTGAATTGAAGGGATGGATTAGCAAGGATAATACAAGAACAGTAAACTAAGTGATGTTTTATTGTCTTGTTTTAGCAAGTCCTGAATCAAGAGGGGATCAAATGTGAGGAGATTGGGGAATTGGAAACCCAACTTCTCATAAGGTATGAGATTCTAAAATAGAGCTAGAACCCTAGACTTTAATCTTTTTCCTCCAGGATAAGCAAATTCAATCCCCTCACTATACAGATGATACATTTGAGTTCTGGAGAATTAAAGTGACTTGAATAATTTAAGAAAGCTAATTAGTGGCAGATCCAGGATGTGAGCCCATGCCTCTCTCCTAATTCCTGTACCTCTGCTATAAAACCACATGGACATGTTGGCTCTTTCCTTCTAACATTACATTGGCTGAAAGCATTTTCTGGAGTCAGAAACAAGAAGCAAGTTTGCTTATCTGACAGACATAAAACAAGGGGAACAATTAGTGTAGCTTTCTTGGGAAGGTGACAGTGATTTTAAAAAACAGCCTATTAAATATGCAAAGCAATGGAGGAAGGCAGCCAAATGTCATAGGTAATCCAGAAGGAGAATAATTCACCTTTGGGCAACAGAATTTGCTATTATCTGTAATGTTTAAGCCAATGTTCAACATGAGATATCAATTCCCACATTTTTAGCTATCTAAGAGGCTTAGATGGCTATATTCTTAGAAAAAAAAAAGGGTAACAGGAATTATAATATTTAAGGAAACACTAGGTTGATCTTGGGAGAAAGATGGAAATAGTAAAGGCTCATGAATAATAATAGTAAAGGCTCATGAACTCTGGATTTGAAGAACCCTAAGCAGAAATTCCATCTACAATCCCCCTAGCAAATAACCATCCAACTACAGATCAACTCCACAAAAATAGGGAACTTACTAATTTAGGTGGCAGGCCTTTCCTTGTTAGGCAGGTTGTATCATAAGCATGCTCTTCAGTACACTGAGCCAATATGCTGCTCCCCTATGATAACTGTCGGTGAATAACTGTTGTTCTATGGTTCAGCCCTACAAATATTTGAGGTCTCTTATTTTCCAGGTTGTACTGAATTTTCTCTATTGATTCCCCTTCCTGAACACAGTCCATGGTCCATTCTCTGCCTTGTACGCCCTAGTATAGGTTCCAGGAAGCTAAACCTTACAGAGAGAAACACAGGCTCTCTTGCCACCTGATTCTCATGTGGGTTTGGTCGAGGAAGGACCAAGAGGAACTTGGAAATCAGAAGGAAAAAGAGGTAGGGAATTTCCTTCTTGCTCTTTACTGGTGTCTACATTTTTGGTTGTGTTTATGTCCTTTTGTGACTATGGTTCCTGTCCAATAGTCCTTCCTCCATGAATCCCTTAACCTTGTCTACACCTTTGTAAGCAGCCACTTCATTAAAGTCCCTTGAACTATCTGAGCTGGATTCCGTTTCCTGCTAAGACTCTTGTTGATATACAGGTTAAAGAAGCATTCTCTGTTTCTGGAACTTCTCCTCAATTAACATGTTTTTCGGACATTCTCATTATTTTGGCTGCTTTCATTTGGTCACAGTCTAATTGTTCAAGTCCTGCCTAAAGAGTTTCATCCATAGTGTGGGCCACAGCATTTCATATTTAATCTATTAGTGCATCACTTTAATCTCCCTTGCCAATGATGTCCTTTCTCTATTAATTCATGTTGTATCTTTCTTTTCTTTTTTTTTTTTTTTTTTTTTTTTTTGCTATCTTACACGGGTGCCTCACCTGGAGCTTGCATTCAATGCAACTCCTAGATCTTTTTTTTTTTTCATGTGATTTTTCTATTAAGCCAGGTCTCTCTCATCTTCCATATTTTGCTCCTTGTCAGGAGACTGAATTATTTAAAAGGCCTGGCCCTGGTATTAACATGCTGGTCCTGAATGGTGACAGAGCACAGGGACACACTATTTTAAAAACACTGTTAGGAAAGAACATTTTAGTTTCTCTTGTCCTAGACTCTGTTTGTTCTCAGACACTGTGTCATAAAATTTTCATGGACATTAACTTCCTTTGACTTCCACGGCCTTGTCTCTCCTGGGCCCTGTCTCTTCTTGATTGTCTTGGGTTTTGTTAACTACTTTTTCTTTTTCTCCTCCTTTAGTTTAAGTATTTCCCAACATTCTCTCTAAGGATTTTGCCACTTCTTTGCAGAACAAAGAATGCACACCTACCAAAGGGCTACTTTGCACTCAGCACTGAGTAAGTCACTTTCCAATCAATCATCCCAAAAACCATCTGAAATATTTGTGTTCTTACTTGATCGATGAGGAACTTTACCTTATGCAGTGAAGAATCTAAGAAGAGAGAGGTTCTACCTCAGAGAAGTGAGCCAGACCATGTAGATGGTGGGCTCTCAGGGCAGGTTGGCCAGGGGATCCGTAATGACCTCTCTGTTTATATCGCTACGCAGTAAAAAGAGATGAATCTAAAGGAAACACGTTGTACGTGTAGATAGTAGAATGGCTTCCCAAGAGGGACACTAAGTTACCTTTATTGCTATTACTGACCAGCATTGTCATTTTATAAGTAGATTTGTCTGAGCGCCTTAATGGTAATATAGCTGGGCAAAGGGTTGATTACTTATATTTCATGAGAATAGATGATTAAACATTCTCAACCTAAAGAAATGTTATTATCTTTATTACATTAATATTTTGTTAAAGAAAGAGGATTACAGCATTATTTACAGTTACTGATCTGTGGATTAATAGGAAACACTGCTCTTTAAATATAGTAATAACATGTTAGTTACCAAGAAAACTGAGGCCTGAGAGGTAGAGAAATTCTGATGAACATAAACAAATTGGGTATAAGAATGGAAAGCAAATCATTTTTACGGCAAATGCATCTGAGCAAACCTGGAATAATACTATTTTCTAATTGTCAATAACTGTCACCCCTTGATTACAGATGTTTATAATACATAATAGAAATATATACTATATATTGCCCATTAAAATTGGCAAGCAAAATAGAAGCTCCAGTATTTCAGAATTTCTTGAAAAGAAAATTGGGGGAAGGGGAGAATACACACACATACACACACACACACAGACACACTCACAAAATAAAACATATTATGCCAAGCCCACACTGTAATTTATCAACTGGGAAGGAAATTGGCATGTCTTTTCCTGCTGATTTATTGGTTAATTCCAACAATTCATTGTAGAAAAGGCCACCAATGAATTACAGTGTGGGAAAAAAATTAAGCGGAGCATTTAGAAAGGTGTTTCAGAATACAGCCTTTAGAAACAACTTACATAGCTATTTTATAGCCAGTCCCAAAGCAATTGGTGCATGTGAAATGCAGTATACAGTTACAGAAAATACACCAGAAAATGCCGTGCATAATGCTTCCCATATTTAGAAGAATATGCCATGTCACATGAAGATTAGATTTCTCCTTTATCTTTAAGCTAGAATCATGTAACATTAGATCTCTCTTACTATTTGTTGTAGAAATCATGTTGGAAGGGCAGTAACAAACATGAACTATGTTAGCAAAGTCAGTGATGGACACTGCTTTAGTGATAGAGACATTCGTCTTTTAGTCCAAAGGGGATAGAAACTTTCATGGGGTGGAACAAAATGCTGAAATTTTGCATTACAAAAATCAGGATACACTACCATCCATCCTGTGTCCCAGCTCTAACCCCAAGGATCTAAGGCTAATAGAAGAAGGGAATTTCTCCATTAACAATTCCATTTCTAATTTCTCAAACCTGGTTTAATCAGCTGGTTGCCCCTCTTTGTTTTCAAAAAGGAGTCTCTGAAATGATTAAAGATACGTGTGATGGTTAATTTTATGCATCCGCTTGGCTGGGTCTTAGAGCACAGATATTTGGCCAAACATTATTCTAGATGTTTCTCTGAGGTTTTTCTTTGTTTTTGTTTTTTGGATGAGGTTTATATTTAAGCTGGTAGATTTTGAATGAAGTAGATTACCCTTCATAGTATGAATGGACCTCATCCAATCAGTTGAAGGCCTGAATAGAACAAAAGACTGACCTCCCTGAGCAAGAGAGAATTCTGTGGCAGGCTGCCTTTGGACTTCAACTGCAACATCAGCTCTTCCCTGGGTCTCCCACTTGACAGCCTTCGAACTTGAACTGTAGCATCGGCTCATCCTGGGACTCCAATCTGCCAGACCACAGCAGATTTTGGACTTGCCAGCCTCTATAATCACATGAGCCAATTCCTTAAAATAAATATCTCTCTCCAGACACACACATTTTATTGGTTCTGAATAATACACTCTTCATAGTCTTCTTCTTGTTATTATTCTTCAGTGGGAAAGGAGGATAAGAGCAAGTATATACTGAGTGCTTACTATGTGCCAAACATTATGTTTATTTATTTACTTGTTTATTTTTAGAGACACCATTGGCTCCTCACAATATCTCTATGAAAAATGTATTATCTCTAACATATAGATAAGAAAAAGGAGACCCAAGGGGATTAAGCTACTTTCCAGTGGCCACATATCTTGTGTGGAGCCTCTGTGGAGATGTCTGACTCCAAAATCTATATATATTACGTTTATTTGAGTGAGTACTTTTTCTATTTTTATGCTGTTTTCTCATGTGACATGATAGATACTGCTAGAAGCACATCTATATACTAAAGTGCTCCTTTGTAGAGTGAAAACCACCATTTTTTTAGACCTACTATGCACTAGGCACTGTGCCACTTTTCCTATATCATCTCTAATCCTCATTTTAACCCTGTCAGCGAGGTAAAAGCACTTCTATTTGACACCCAGGGCCACTGAGGCTTAGAGAAATCATATAACAGACCCCAGGTTACACAGCCAAGCTGGGGTTCACCCCTGGGTTTATATGATTCCAAAATCCACCCTGTTAACTCCTACACTATGCCTCATGCTCATTTCCTAAGGATTCTGCATCAGTGTGTACCCCTAAATCATAACCCTTGGTTTTCAGACAAAAGAGCTTCCATGTTGTCGAATTTTTTTCTCACTGGCTCAAGGAAACAGCAGAAGGGTTTCTATCCTGCAGCATGCTATTTTCTGAATGGAAAAGAAAAAAAAAAACCAGAAATGTTTCCAAAAGAAAGTACAGAATATGTGCTATAAATTCTAACATGGTCTTTCTATTGACAGCAGAGTCTAGGGTTGCCTGAGCCACAACACTCTACTTTATGTTGCAGCAGCAGAGACTTCACAGCAGGACTCCTTAAGTCTTTCCGGTTTGCTCCTACAAAGTGATCAATAAGCATCCTCTTTCCCTTTTTTTTGTCCCTTTTGGTTGTGTTTACTTGGTCTAAAAAACAAAGAAGGGGAAATAAGCCCCTTGTTGGGGGGTTTTCCCTTACTTGCCCTGTTTCCTAATCACACCAGGACGTTATTGTCCAAAGCCACATTCACATTTAGAAATAAAAGAGAAATGGAATAAAACTTCAAGAAAAAGATACGAAAATGATGCTGCAATAAACGTGAATTCCTGTGGATAGGCAAAATGTGGATACTCCTTCTGGATATTTGTAAATGGACAGAGAAACCTGTCTTGCCTCAGAAACTCAGAAGCAATGATGTGCTTCTTGATGTATATGCCTCTGTAGACTTCAGGAAGGTGAGCCCATTTTTTACTGAGGGAGAGTGACAGAAATCTATCAACCTGGCTTATCATCCCACAATTACAGCAATTTATAGTGTGCTTCTTGCAAGGTCACCTGCATCTGCAACCAAACAAAAGCACTCTCTCTGCCTTTGTTTCAAAGCGACCTAATGTGCTCCCTGCAACTTAAGTTATCCAGGATATTTTTCAATTAATTTGCAGTCACTTAGCCTTAGCATCACACAAGCCTGGCATATATCACATTTTTCATTGGCTGGAAATACCGGAGTGTCTCAACCCCCCTGTTTCAGAAGAACTGCTTTTCCTTTTTCTTTTAAAGTCACTTCATTCAGCTTTTTTTTTTCTCTTGAGTTAAGGAACTTGTTGTGAGAAAAAAAAATTCTTTGTAATTTCAAGAAGGAGTTTTCCATTCTGATAAGCTGCCTATATTTTTCTATCACCGCCCGAAATTGTCTGAAGCAATTAAAAGCATGGCTAATTCTTCTGAAAGGAGGTTGAAACCTCTGCATTCCGAAGGAGACTCTTCTGATACAGCATCGGGCACCAGAGTCTGGGTCTTCAACCCCCAGTGGGAATGTGTGGAGACAAGGACTGAAATTTTTAGGTCAAAAATGCACTCATGGACATTTATTATAAGAGAACGAACTAGAATTCTTAGTAGTAGGGCCTTTCCTTCTCCACCCTTGTCTGTCTTCAGTGTTTTGCTTTCCAGAAAATCTTTTTTTATGACAACTGGTTGCAGTGCCCGCCTGGCCTCCCTGTGCTGCTGGCTCCAGTGGCAGGAGCTTCTGGTCTGTTTTCCAAAGCGCTAAACTCATCTGATCATTTTCCATCTCACAGTGCAGGTTCTCAGAGACTCACAAATCCATCATCCTGTTGCCCTTCAGATACGAGGAGAAATGTGTCGTTCAAACACCTCCTTGCTGAGAAGCTTTTTCAATCTATTCGACCCACTGGGGCCACAAGGAAGGTTTTACTTTTTCTCTTTTCCAATCCCCAACCCCACCACTGTCCTGCCCCACTGTTCCCCTGTCCCCCCCACCCATTTCAACTTTGACTCGCTTTCTCTGTGATTTTTTTCTGTCATCTTCTCTCAGCGCTTTGTGGGGCAGTGTAGCTGTGTGGTTTGGAGGCAGTATGGGCTATAATGTCAGACCCATCTGAATGTAAATCCTGGCTTCGTGACTGAACTTCTGCCTTCTCTGTCTCTCCATTTGTAACTGTTCCTCCTTCACAGCAAAGGTGAACTCGGATATGGAAAGTGCTTAGTACAAGACATACTCACATATTTTTAACAAACATAAATGGTAGAAATTAATCTTTACTCAGGCACTTTTCCTCTAATCTCTTTTCTTCCTCTGCTTTTTGTTTTATTTGCGTTTTTGTGAAATCACAGGTTGCATGCCCTGTTATTTAAATTAAAATACTTACCACTAGTGAAATGGATGCCAAAAATCTGGGAAACAAAGCACACTGTGCAATGTATGAGTTTTACAGTGGAGAAAACTGACACCCCTGGACATACCCTCAAGATCAGAGCTAGGTTTCTTTTCCTCTCTCCTGGGTCTTGTCAGATGGAGGCAATAATAGGACAGACTGTTTTGGAGTGTCTAGGATTGGCAGACCAGCTGTTCCTGTGAAATGTAATTGGTGCCACAGATCTGGATGAGCAATGAATGAAGTCCAGGGAGTTAAGTAGGCAGGGCTGGGGAAGGTGGGCAGCATCATGAGGTGGGCAGCATCCGGTTGCTGAAGTAAATCTTCCTTCCCTAAGCCAAGATGAGCAGACCTAAGGATGCTGATTCCAGGGAGCAAAATGTTTGCTCTCATCTCTGTTATTTCCTTTGGGTTATATGCACTCCTAGCTCCATATGTGACCACAGTAGCCAGAAACTTTGCATATTTACAAGCATACACAGGTCTGCAGACAATCTATATTGCTAGTTAGATCCACCAGAAGCCCCATAGATGACTTCTCAGTGTCTGTGGATACTAGGTTAAGAACTCCATCTAACTCTCAAGTAGTTACTCATTTACTAGTTTTTCATAGACAGGTTAAAATATCCCAAAGACTTTCTAATGTCCTTTCCCATTAATTTATACCAATCACATGACCTCTTCTTGACTAATTTCACTTCTCAGAGACATCAAAAAGATAAAAAGTATATTCTGGCTGAAGGAGAAATGTGTTGCCAGACAGTATACCACCATGCCCTATGCCTGTGCATGGCATTTTTCCTTGCTGAATTTGGATCAGACTCAGTACCTTTTCCACCAGCTATCCAGGTATTTTTCTACAAATTGATTGGAGTTGTCATGTGACCATGCTCACCTAAATTTCATTTATTCTACTATTCCCAACTTCCCATGGACCAAACACTAGGCCATATGGCTAGTTCTACCCAATGTATAATGAGTAGAAGTGATGTGTGTCACTTTTGGGCAAAGGCAATTGAAAGCTGATGTGCTTCCCCCATCTACTCTTTCTTTATTGTGACGATCTTAGAGGTCATGTGTTCCAGGATGCATGACTTAAAATGGAAGATGGCTGCTGTTTCTGAACCAAACTTGGTCTCTTTGCCCACGTGCAACAGAAAGTCCAACACCAAAGCACGAAGATTTTGTAGAAAGGCTTGTTGTGGGTTGACTGGCAAGGAGACAGGAGACAACACCCAAATCTGTCCTACTGAGCTGGGTGGTGGGGCAGGTTTTGTAGGTAGAGGGTAGTGAGGCATGGTCTGATTGGATCCTGCAATGAAGTGATGCTGGGAGGTGTGATCTGACTGGATCTTACCAGAGGGTGATGCCAGGGCTCAATCTGATTGGATCATGGATCACGCCAGCATGTGGTGTTCACGTCTTAACTCAATCCCTGTTCCTTGGTCCAAGTACCTAGGTTCCGCCAGTGGCTGTGCACTTCACTCATCTGGGTATGCTCAGGTTACATAACTTGCAACGTGGGTTCCATGGCAACTGAAAAACAAGTCACCATTTTATTACACAAAATTGAACCAGATTAGGCTGGTTCTGCAGGTACACTGCCCCATGTGTGCAAATATTTTATATGATACACCTCTATTGGGAAGCACCACTGAGCTTTAGGCTTTGTCCATTGGAGCAGAAGAATCAGACCTAATCTGACGAGTAAAACACGTAAGATAGACCTTCTTTGCCATTCCTCCTGGTTATTGAAAAGGTAAAGCAGCAAGCTTTAATTAACATGGTCAGCTGTGGGTAAACAGAGTCAGCTTTCTGGATCCAGAGTGCCAAGGACTCAAGTCTGGAGGCATCCTGTGTCCATCCATACTTGAAGTTCTGACTGCTTCCCTTGATGGATTCCTCTCTTTAATTTCAATAGGACTAATTTTCACAGATGAAGAAATGAGGCCCTGTGAGCTAAAATGGTTTGCCCAAGTTTATATAGATAGTGGATTAGGGGGTGAGCTAGAACCAGACTCCTGACTCCTGACCCAGGAATTCTTCCCTCTCCCTGTTGTTCCATTTCCCTGCCTCCTGCCTCCCTCCATATTGATGATGGGGTAGCAAAGGGGGTTCCAGCCATAGATTTGCTTCCCTTGATAGTATGGAATAACCAGCAGGTAACCACAGTGCACACACTCTAAATTACAAGATCATTAGCCTTAGGAATTATCTTTAAATCTGCAAATTCTGCCTCCTAAGAAGGCCTCCTTGTTTTTTTTAATCCTACCCTAAACTAGTCATTGAGTTTAGCAAGCAAAGATCCTCATCGTAGCATCAGACATGACTTTCCCTCCTCCTTGATTGATTGATTAATTAGTTATGCGTACTTGGGTCCAGCAGGGAGCCCAGTGACAGCTGTGACATGAAAATTACCAGAAAGTTACAAAAATATGTAGCAGTGTTGACTTGCTGAAATGTAGAATCAGGGATTGATTAGAAACAGACACGTATAACGATCACGTCTTGAAATTACCTGTCACTACTGAGGCCTTGAGAAGAATCCTTTTGGTTAGGATGAATTATTTTAGTTCCTATCTAATCACCTGCAAAGAAACTAGTGAATATTCTCTATTCTTATTTTAACTTTTTTTTTTTGGTCTGGAATCCTAGAGTTTAGAACAACAACTCCTGTAGAGACAAAATGATTTTTGAAAAACTCAAAACCCAGTCACATCATTCCCTGCTTAAAAATCCTCCAATGGTGTCCCATTGCTCTTAGAAATAAGACAAACTGCTGAACATGGTCTTTAAGGGCCCCATCCTGTTAGCCTTCAGCTTCCCCTCAGCCTCATCATGTATTCCCTTTCCTGCCCTCTGGCCACACTGATCCCTTCAGTTCTCACCACAGCCCACACTCACCACAGGGCCTTGGCACATGCTCTTTCCCCTTTCTGAAATTCTCTCCCTTATCAACTCTTTGTTATTCTTCAGGTCTTATCTCATGTCACCGTATTGAGAGTGCCTTCTCTTATCTCCTGATAGATCACATCTCTCTATTAAAGACTCTTTTGGTATCATGTGCCTCCCTTCATGGCACTGTCACAGCTATAATTTTACCGTGTGTGTGTGTGTGTGTGTGTGTGTGTGTGTATGTATGTATGTATGTTTACATTCATTCAGAGAATTAAATTTTTTCCCCTAATTAGAAAGTTAAGTTCCACAAGGACTGTGCCTTGCATCTGTTTTCTGCTTTCAATATTTTCCCCAGCAGTGTGTTCCCCTGGCACAGAGCAGGCCCTCAATTTATATTTGATGAATAAATGAATGAATAGTTAATTGACTGAAAACTATCGCCTGGTATAAATGTAGTAGAAATCACAACCAGGCATTTTTCTTGAACACTTTGAAAAAAGACAGTGCATAAGCAGACAAGAATCTTAAAAGAACCCAAAGCTTAGTATGATTTCTAAGCAGCAGATTTCCTGGTGCACAAATAAAACAGCAACTAAAAGTTCCACCCTTCAGATTTCACCAGTGTGATTCTCAGCTGGTTTAGCAAACCTGAGGCATTCATAATTCAGAAGAATCTGAAAGTTGTCTGGTATCTTGCATGTTCAATAAAAGGATCACTTTTATGCTCAACAATTTTTTATGGCTGCAATACTGCTATGAGCAAAGGGACACATATATTAATAATGTTCAGTTGCATCAGTCAGGGTCCCAGCAGGAAGCACTTGGCTCTCTCAAAAGGTATTAACTAGAGAACATTTAATGAAGAAACAATTTCAATAGACATGGGCAGGCTTCAGGGAACGAACAAAGCATGGTGAAGCACCCAGGAATTAGCAACAATTGGGAGCTGTTACTGTCCCAGGGCCCGGAAAAACAAGAGAAGGGAATGGCGTTAGAGAAATATGATGAAAATGGGTGCTCTAGAGAGGGGCTGCCTATCTGGAGCTGTTGCCATCCCAACTGTAGCCATAGAAGAATGCAGCCACTACCCGATCCCTAAAGGGAGCAGCAGAGACAAGGAGGAATAAATTCTGGAACATCTGTCTTTTCCAGCCCTACAATCTACTGGCAAACCCAACTGGAAGCCAGAGGTGAGGAAGTTGGGGAATGCAGTCTATAGAGGTCAGTTTCTGTGGGCCCCGAGCAAGACAGAGAAGTATGAGGATGGATTTATGAAGGGATAAGGAGGGCAAAGAGAAAATGGCCAGCATGCCTTTTATTTATAGAACACTTACTACGTGTCACTGTTTTAAATTCTACGTGTATTAATTCAAGCAGTCTTCACTGTAACCTCATGGGGTAAGCCCCAATATTTTTCCCCTATTATGGAGGAGGAAACTGAAACATAAAGAGGTTAACTAACTTGCCCAAAGCCACACAGCTTGTTAGCTGGTGATGAAACTAAAATTTAAACCCAGGCATTCCGACACCAGAGCCATTCACTTCACCAGTATGTGAGACTTCAGAAGAAGAATTCTAATTTCGGGGTGAAGATTTAAGGCTGTGCTTGTGCCAGGAACAAATCACCAGTGCAGGGGGCCTGGAAGAAACAGACTCAAACTTTTTCTCAGTACTAGAATAAATACTTTAGAGTTCGGGAAAAAAAAAACCACACAATTTATTATTATACATCAGGATTTTTTTTTCAGTAAGTTGATGTTTGGGGTTACTAACTACTAACTGTAGTGGCCATATTCAAATATATAAACATTCATTAGGCAGGATGATGAAGGATTTAATTGAAGCTTAACTCAGAAAGAAAAATATCTGCAAGTGTGTCAGCACCATCTAGCCAAATATTCATATTAGGGATGGAGTTAAAGAATTTTAAGTAGAAGGAAAGAACACATCCAAGGTTTGTAAGTCTCATATTCATCCCTTTGCTCCACGACTTTGATATTTTATCCAGAAGTGAGTAACACTGCTAATATCTGATGTAAGTTTGAGAGTTGAGTCTGAAAACAAAATAACATCAATCATATCTTGTTGCTATATTAAATAACTTACTGTTTTTAATTCTTTTTGCTGTACTTCTAGAAAATACAGATACACAAAAGGAAAAAAATAAAAACCAACTACAATTGTATCACTTAGTGAAAAAATAACTGTGCGGTTGGAATGTCATCCTAGTCTTTTTTCTGTTTGTGTCTCTGTGTATTTACAAAGTTGAGATCATATTGAATGTATTGTTTTAAATTTTATTTTACCTATAGTGAAATGAAATTTCCATGTCATTTTTCCTTATTACTAATAATGAGGTTTTCTTTTATAGAGATAGACCATATTTTGTCTACTCAACCCTCTACCGCTGGACATTTAGGTTGCTTTCAGTTTTTATGGTAAACAGCATGCTCACAACCAAACATTTGTACATATAATTGTAGAGAAAATAACCATGAAGTTATATTTACTTTTTCTATTTGAACATTCCAGACACCCCTTCCCAAAAGACAGGGATTTTCTTTAATATTTGGATGTCTTACATAGTTAGATTTGGAGGACGGCAGGCCTGAGAGAATTTGATGAAATTGGCTCGGCTCACCAATATACATCAGAAGCTTTAATATACGCTCTAAAATACGGTTACAAATATCAATTTCTTTCTTAGTTAACTGAAGTTAATAGTGGATAATTTTCTTAAAGACCCTAAAATTTTGTTTTGAAAAAGCTCAGGTCAGAATCATCTTTCTGCTGGGAAAAAAAAAAAAAAAACTACACACAGTAGACTGAGCATTTTTAGTTAAGGAAGTGTGGCTAATGAAAGCAGACCTCTTTGTTTCATTTGCCACATGATGCAGTAGCTAGCTGTATTAGGTTGCCAAGAAGGAAAAAAAAAAGGCTCACAGACCTGTAAGTCTATAAAAAGAATGTATCATGTACTGTGGTGGCTTCTATCTGAAGTCCTGAAGGCATTTTTAGATGCTTGAGCAGTTCAGTCATAAGATGAAAGGACTTTGATCTTTCCCGCTAACTTAGCATGAAAATAAATTTAAAAACTTGGCCCTTTATGATAATAGCATTAATTCTAAGCAAATGCACTGGCAAAATTCAGAGACACTCCAGCATTCTAAATTATAAAGTAAAATATATGGGTGGTGGCGAAAGGAGGAAGAGATCTAATTTCTCAATCGAAGGGAGAGACATCCAATTATCAAGGCAAAGGATACTTTACCATTTGGTATAAACGCTGAGAAAAGGTGTCCCTCCCAGATCCTGGTACAGGTTTCCTGTTTGTGGAACAGGGCTCAGGCTATCTGTATGCTACTAATTACTACATTTCATTCCATTTCCTCATTTCAAAGACTCTCTGTCAAAGTCTTTTAGAAAAGCTTTGCTTGGCTAGCCACTATTTAAGATACAAAATGAGGAGCATGTCTTCCTCCAAGAAAAGTAAAATAATAAAAACCTACTGTGTGCTAGCTTTTGTATGAATCATGTCCTTAAGCCTATAAGGACAAAAGGAGAAAGAATTGTCTGAGAATCCCAGAGCTAAAAACACATCAGCCTGGTCACACAGCTAGAAAGTGGCAGGGCTAGGTTTTTAATAAAGTCTATCTGACCCTAAAGCTCATGATATTTTGAATACACTAGGTATACCACATAGTAACATATGTAGATGTACACCCTATTGTAATATAGTATTGTCGCAGACATTTGATCTTCATTTGGCTGTCTCGCATTTGATCATACTCCTCCCCAATTTCTTTTTGGGTGGAAGTCCTCTTTGAATGTTGATTTAATGGGAAGGCAGTTCTTACTACCTCCCACTATAGAAGTCTAGGAGATCATATTCCTTTTCAGCGCCCCTGGTACAACTGGGAAACAGTGACCAAGGTGCCAGTGTGATTCTTATTCTCAGAACTTTGGCTGTTTGGTGACTCAGTCAGAGGGAACGTTCAGAGGTTGTGTGCATCACAGCAGTAGGTGTGGCTTGAGGACCAGACATTTCCTTCGATAAGACATAGTTTCCTCTCCAGCCCCCAGAGTCACTTCATGTTGGTGTATTTTCTATGCTAGGTCCTCCAGCCTCCCATTGATTCTGTGACTTGCCCTTCCTTCCAATAAATCCTCTTGCTAAGTAGCCAGTGTTGGTTTCTAAGGTTTCCAACCAAGAGTCTCAAGAGATATGAGTTTTTTAGACTCAGTAACAGGCCAGAAAATAACCATGAACCTTTACATGGCACTGAAATCTATAACATAGTTTCAAGGGACCCTCTGCAAATTATTGCTGGGATATTAACAGCAATATATCCATTCAGATCAATAAGAAGTAGACAAATTATTAGGGCCAAGTATGGTGTTAGTGATTACCTTCACACTTTAACCCATCATATTGGGGCTGTCCCCCTTGACCACTTAGAATTTTACAACTTTAAGGGACCCCAGTGATCATCTAGACTAACACCCTCATTTCCCTTTTATGAGGCCACTCCCTCATCAGCCGTAAGAAGGATATCACTTTCTCTTTACCCTTTGGACTTCAGTATTCACAGTGTCACTTCCAAGGCTTCCATTGTCCCTTTTGAACATTAGTCCAAAGTTATTAAGCTTAATGCACAGTTGCTTAATGCATAGAGAGTGACAAAATGGTCACAGAGGGAAATCTATGCTCCTCATTTATTTTGTTTTGTGAGACTTTACTTTCAAGTGGCCTTTCCTGCTAAGTCTGAGGAATTTTATTTAAAAATAATAATGAAAGGAGGGGAGGAATATATCATCAAGAAAAAAAGCTGAGATAAAATCCGCAAATCATTTAAATGATTTAGAATGGCAAAAGATAACTAACTGAAAAACAGAGAAAACAGCAACAGTTCATAATTCTACCTGGCAGCCTAAGGCAGCCTGAAATTTGTGTCTGACAAGCTGTCACAGAGGCTGATACTCTTGGGAACGCCTTATTAGGAGTTTACTATGAAATGATTATATGCTCCAGTTAAACAGTCTGCATGTGTCCGCAGACTGCGATGGCGATGGCGGGTGCACACTCAGGAGCCAGGCATGCTGGGAACGGGAAAGCCAAAGTTTCTGTTGACAACAGCAAAAGCGCCAGGACTGACCAGGAGAGGCTGGTTGAGATTTGGCAGCTGGTACTCATAAAAGCAGTTGTACAGTTCGAAACACGGTGTCCAAAGGATATTGTAAGCTTAGAAGCAGCGAGAGAACTGTTTGAGGGAGGCCAGAGTTGAAACTTTCAGGAAGGAAATTGTAACTGCCAATGAAGACAGAATTCTTCCCTGGATCTTGAGATTGTAGAGCATGCAGAAAGATTCCACTCTCAGGCTGAGGGTCTAAGAAGGGGTTAGCAGGCTATCAGGGACCCAGACAGTCAGATGAGATCCAAGTCAGAGTTTTTGTCCTAGAGACAGATGGGGTGCTAAGGACTGTAGGCCATTGGATTCAAACTCCATATTGGCCACTGATTAGGTGACTGGCTTTGGTACTATTTAATCCCTTTGAACATGAGTGTCCTCATCTGTAAAGTGGTAGTAACAACAGTGCTTACCTCATAGGGTTGTTATGAGGATTAAATGAAAGAAGCATATAAGATACTGAGCTCATAGTAAGTGTTTAAGAAATGTTAGCTATTATATTAGTGGGGAAGACTAAGGAAAGGGGTATAATTGTAAGTCCTTAAGTCTGTAGTCTTGGAGGAGGAAATATTATAACTCAGAGGCTTTAAAGACTTCTTGGGTTATCCCTGCTATGACAGCTAATGAGCTTGATTGACCATATAATCTAATTCTAAAGCCTCAGGCTGTATAAACTTCCTGCTCTATTTCTAATTAACCCAGACACCGGGAAAAACTTGAGGCTGCTGCTCAGGTCTGTCAGGAAAAGCAGAAGAGACAGACAAGTCAAAAGTAGACCCCAAGTCAGGGCTCTAAGTTGTGCCACTATCATTTTTGTCTTTGGAGATAAAGGTAGCTTTGATCTCATTGTTTCAAATGGATAACCACACTAATACCTCACCTGCCACAATTAGTTCTAACATTTTATTTTTGTATTACAATTCATATCTAATTTTAATACATGGTCATGTTAGACAAATAAATGTCATCTTCCCCACCAACGTGATACTGGTGGGCAATGGGTTAAAATTTCTCATCTGATTTGTTGACTGAGCTGGGTGAACTTGATCAGGCAATTTGTTAAGAGAGCTGAAATATAGTCAGGAACACTCTTGGCTTAGGGTTTGCATTTGTGTTTTCTTTTATCTTTTCCCCAGTCATAAATCTTGAATGGGAAAGAAAGTGAAAAGGGAATGAGGGAAAAAAAAATGAATCATGCAGAGGGATGTCTCACTGCCCATGCATCCATCCTCTGAGCTGGGCAGCAGAGATTACAAATCAATCATACTGTGCAAATCAAAAGTCTCTCACAGATTCCACAAAGGAAATCATTTCAGAAAGATATTCTTAGGATTCTGTTTTCCTCAAACACAGTTGGTCCAGCATGAATGGGCTCTACTCAGATTAACATGGCATTCTGGTTTGGGAATCAATGAGACACGATGGAAAGTATGACAATTCCCATTTATGGTGTTAGATGAAAATGACAGAGCCAGGAGTCAGAATCCTGTAGAATCCTTAGTCTACCTGACTTGCTGCCACTCTGGGCCTCAGCATCCCGATACATAAAATGAAAGAGTCAGCATGATGGACAGCAAATCGTCTCTGAATCCTTTCAGGCTATTATTTCACTTGATTTGTATATTATTTTACCTGATTTTTCTATGTTTCCCATTCAAAGTAGGTGTGTCCTTTTAATTAAGGTCTAAAAAGTATATAGTTGAATTTAATTCTGTTTAGTCTTACCATTTTGGTTTTTAAGTTGTAGTATTTAAAACACATATGATTCTTGGGTTTATCTTTATTTATTGACTGTTTGTCTCACTTGTTATTTTCTTTCCCCTTCTCTTTCTTAACTTCTTTTGGGTAAATCCAATGTTTGCAGTCTATATCTTGAAGCAGGCTAGTTATACTTTAGTTAGTTAGAACCTTGTTAGTTATACCTTCTTTTAGTAACATACAGCCTTGATTTATATAAAAATGAATATTTTTAGCCATTCACAGATAAAACAAGGGCTTTGGAATACTTTATCTCCATTTACTCACTTTGGGCTTTTCTGTTATTGTTATTACGTATTTTAATTCTGTGCATCTTAAGCCCCCCAAAGACATACTTATTGTTTTGTATGTTCAATAGTCATTTATATTTATCTAACTATTTAACCTTTACTTAGTTCTTCATTCCTTCTTATATTTTCACAGCTCCTTCTAGGATCATTTTCCATCTGTCCATTGGTGTTTCTTTCAGTCTCCTAATGATGAGTTCACTCAATTTTTGCCTGTCTAAAAACATCATTATTTGACCTTCAGTTTTAAAAATAGTTTTACCAAATATAAAATTGCGTTAACATTTTTCTTTCAGTTTGTTTTACTGTCTTCTGACTTCCATCATTTCTGTTGAGAAGGCAACTGTAAATTTTAATGTTTCTATTTTAAAAGCAATACATTAAAAAAATCTCTGGCTGCTTTTTTGTTTTCTTATTTATTTTCTTTCGGAAACATTATTATTCTGAGCTTAGGTGAGAAGATTTTTCTGCTGTGGTTTGGTGTATATTTTTTGTTTCTTTGTTTCCTTGGTTGGGTTTTTTGCCTGTTGCTCTTTTGAAGTTCATAGGGATTCTTGTGGCCGATGTATTTGTCAGTCTTGGGAAATTTTTACGATTATCCTTTCAAAATTTTTTTTATTTTTCTCTGAGCTTTTCACTATGTCCCATATGTCTCTATGATCTTTCCTATTTTCTATCATTTTAGCTCTCTGTGCTTTGGCCTGGATATTTTCTACCAATTTATCTTCCAATTTAGTAATCAACTTTTCTGCTATGTCTGATTTGCTGGTAAACCCATCTATTGAGTCTTAATTTCAAGTTTCAGCTATTATGGCTTAATTCCATAACTTCTATTTTGTTTTCAAAATAAAGGCCAGGTATCTAGTGAAATTCTCCATATTAACACCTGTTTTCTTGAATGTATTAAGTCCAACTACATTAAAGTCTATCCCTAATAACACTAAGAAATGTGTCATCTGCAGGTCTGTTTCTGTTGTCATTTTTTTCTCTTGGTTCTGTTTTTTGACATACCGGGATATATTTTTTACTAATAGCCATATATTGCTAAAATAAGTATTAGAGGCACTTAATAATGCCATATTATCCTACACAGAGTTGATATTATCCTTCGGTAAGCAAATAGAATGGTAGCAGGCTCCTTTAAGCCACATGGGCACTGAGCTAATTCCAGGATGGATTCCAGTTTTCCAAAATTATGTATCTAGTTTGTCCATGCTCCTAGATTGTCATCCTCAGGGTTTTCCAACCAATATTCTGACGTATCTAGTAGGGCCCCCTCCCTAAAGTGGGTCCCAAGTACTCGAGTGTCACTTTTTTTTTGTCTTCCCAGAACCAAGAGAAAGTAGAAACACGTGCTTTATTATATGATTCTTATTCTCCTTTTCTGTAGAACCAGCAAATGTCTTAAGGGAAAACAGGCAGAGATCTGGGCTTACTTCTTTCTTCTAATCAGAATCTTGCCTCCACCTCCCCCACCCCATCACCAAATTCTGGCTATTGTGGCAGTTCCAAACTCTAATTTTTGGCTCTGTAGCCCTGTGAGATTGCCAAATTTTCCACTGACTTCTCTGCCTTTTAACAGAAGCTGTATGTCCTGGCCCTCTGAGTGAATTCTTGGCTTCCCATTCAAAAATCAACAAATGCCCTGAAGAAAAAAAGTGGTTATAAAATCTCTCTGTGATTTCCTTCTCACTGGCATCTTAGCATTTCAAGATTATTTACATCAGCAGTTTCTTGATGGGCTCCTCTTCTTATTTAAACAAAATTAATCTGATTTTTATGGTCATTCTCAGAAAGTGTATTAGTCTGTTACTGTGGTGGTAACACATGGTTGTAAATCCTTTTTGATCCCTTTTGAGAGGTGAGATCTTTGACCCCTATCCTTAAGTTTGGGCAGACTTAGAACTACTTCAACTAATGGATTACAGCAGAATTCATAAATGGCCATTCAACATCTGCTTTATGCTGCTGGAACACTTGCTCTTAAAGCCATAAAACATCATCTTAAAAGTCTACTTGGAGACTGCCATACTGAATTGACCACAGAGGTGGTCTTGTGAACAGTCCAATCTGAGCCTGTTCTTTAGAGATCCCTTCCAAGTTCCATATATACAAGAGAAGAAGCATCATGGAAGTCAGTCCTTCAGCCTCAGCTCTTCTTGCTCTTCAGCTGTTTGAGCAATCCTAGCTGAGGCTCAAGGAGACGTCAAGGAGTAGAGAAGAGCCATTTCCACTGTGTTTTTTCTGAATTCCTGATCCACAGAGTTTATGGGCATTATAAAATGGTTGCTTTTTTATGTCACTAAGTTTTGGGGTGATTTGTGATACAACAGATACATGAAGTATCCCTAGGTATTCCAACAGAGCCAGACACAGAAGTCACATAAAATTTACTTGATTTTTTTTTCATTATAAGAGAAACTATGAACCAAACTTGAACAAAAGAATGGAACAAGAATAGGATTGTAAATAGATGCAGAAAATCTTTTATAGTCATATCTGGTTTAACCTGAGAAATTAGAAAAAAAATGGATTTTTTTTTCTTTTTGCATGCCATCCTCTTTGATGTACTAATTTTCCCACTGCTTCCATATCAGATTAGCCCTTCATCAAGACTTATACTCTTTGTGAATTACACAGGTCTTTAACTTCCCCTCCCTTCATTTCACTATACGGTCTAGTGAAAATATACCACCTTTGCTCCCATCGCTTCAGAACTGTATTCTCTGCTTGCCAGCTGTTAAACCAACCATGAATTAGAGGAATCTATGAATCACGGAATCTTCAGTAGAAATAAATACGATCTAGTCTAACTGCCAACCCTACGCAGATATTCCCATCCCTGAGAGGTTGTTACCTAGCTCATGCCAAGCAATATATTTCTTTTAGCAAATTTAAATTAGGGAATTTCAAGAAAATGAAAGCCAATCAGCAAAGGATGTCACAAGAGTGATTCAGTAATATCTACCATGAAAAAGGTGTTGGAAAATAAAGTCGAATAAAACACAGTCATTGGCCTCAGGAGCATAACAATTTTTCAGGAAATAAACATACCACTAACTATTCTATAATGTTATGTGAGATTAAAATGCACCAAGAACAATGCATTGAAAAGGAGGAAATTATTCTAGTTAAGTATATGGGGATATTCTGGGAAAGTCCCACAGACAAAATGACATCTCAGCTGTGCTTTTTCCTCGGTTGATGTAGTTTCCAGGTTCTTCTGCATTCTGATTGCCACCATTCATCTGGACACTATCTAGTTTTTCAGTCTCTTTGGAAACACAATTTCCCTAATATTACTTAAATAGTCTACAGGTCAAGGGACAGTCACACCCCTTGAGCTGAATGTGACACCTCTATTTATGAAACCTAAGATTTCATCCTCATTTTTATCAGCAAGGTCATATTATTGGATCCATATACTGCTTAACGTGTACTAAAATCTCTAGAATTTTTTCCACATGAGTTATTTTGAAATCAGGTTTTTATGCTGTTCATATTTTGAATCTGCATTCTCAAGACTTTATATTAATTCTTCATTTGAATCCAGTGTTTCAGCCTCTAGAGAATTTTGTTGTGGGGGAGGAGACAGGATGGGAAGGTCTGATCTCAGATTCTAACAAATGAGCTAGCTTTTCTAGGTCTGTGTCAGCTGCAAATTTAATGAGCAAACCTTGTGCATCTTTCTCCAAGGTGGTGATTAAAAATGTTGACCAAGACACAATCATGTAATCCGGGCTTGGACAATCATATATTAATGCATTTCTCCTATTAAGTGACTTATTTGCATTTTAACAGTGGCCTTCTGGAGAACAGATACTTTTACCCAAATAAATGATGAAGATGATAGGAATATTAGGCATCATAGAAGTCCACTTTGGGAGATTATTATTAGACGTGGGGTCCCTTCTATGCTTCTCAAATCAGACTATCTGGGATGCCTTCTATTTATTCCATTTTGAGGCCTCTCCTTCATTCTTAAACTTTCCTGCACACTGGAATCACCTGGAGAGGTTTTAAATATACAGATACCTGGGCCCCACTCCCAGAGTGGTGCTGCCTACATTTTGGGTGTTTGTGAAGCTACCCAGGTGATTCTACTGTTCAGTCAACGTAGAAAGCCACTGCTTTTGCAGAAAGTCATCAACTGCAGAAGAAAGAGTATAAGGTTAGAGGTCAAAGTGGGATAGACCCCAGCTCTTCGTGTAACAGTTTTGTGATTTGGACAAATTGCTTAATCTCTGAATTCTACTTTCTTATCTGAAAATTAGGGCTAATAATGATCTACAATGTGTTTAAAAGAGATCATGTACATTACCTCTGTTCATAGTAGGCAAATAGTGACTGTCATCCCTTCCCTCTGTTTTTCCTAAAGTCCCCTAAGTTGGTCTATAGAACAAGGTCAGCAATAGCTGAAGAGCAGATTTGACACACGAGCTCTCATCTCTGGTGTTCCTTCCAGGATCAGATAACTTCACCTTTGATGACCTATGGCTGAACTTTTCTGTCTCATAGAATGATTTAACATCATTTAAATGCACAAATGTAGCTTAGCTGGGAAATAAAACATATATTCGACTTTAAATTGCCAAATAGAAAAGAAATGTTTCATTTTCAAACTGTGGCTACGGAAGAACATGCAACTGCTCAAGTTTCATCAATAAGCCTTTCAAATGTTTCCCTGTATTCTCAGTTTCTCATGTAAGACAACTTTTCATTAATATAGGACTTTTTTGAGGTGGAACTCAGCAAGAAAAATAAATACTAGATAATTTTTTTAGCTATTCTTTTTGGAAAATCCTAACCAAAATACTAGCTAGGTAAAATAAAAGTTTTTAACATCCGAACTATTAAATGATTGTTTAAAAGAACTTCTTAATTGGAATGAGGTACAGTACATGTAATACAAATTCATGTGTTGTTTTCCAAATGTGAAAATATATACCTAGAAGTCAGAGTAAAGCATTGAAATATCACTAAAATTTTAATGTCATGCAAGACTATTGTTCCATTTTCATTCTGCTTCCAGCCCAAAGATACAACAGTAATTTTTAAAATAATGTGAACAAACAAGCTTGAGTTTATCTCATCTCATCTCCTTTCCAGTCTTCTCTCCATGCTTCTCATCTCACTTATTGTAAAACATTTATTGAGATGCTAGTGTTCATTAGGCATTACGAATATCACGACAAATGAGGTAAGTGATCCCAGACTTTGAGGAACTCACAATCTAGTGTAAAAAATAATTAAAACCCAACATAGTTAATGACAACTGAATAAGGTGTGTAGTCTAGTTAGCAGTATTGTACCAACGCGAGTTTTCCAGTTTTGATTTTGTATCATAGTCATGTAAGATGTCACATTGGAGGAAGCTGAGAGAAGGGTACACGATACTATTTATGTAACTTTTGGTGTAATTGTAATTGTTTAAAAATAATAAAGTTTTGGCCAGGTGCAGTAGCTCACGCCTGTAATCCCAGCACTTTGGGAGGCCGAGGCGGGCAGATCACGAGGTCAGGAGATCAAGACCATCCTGGCTAACATGGTGAAACCCCATCTCTACTAAAAATACAAAAAATTAGCCGGGCGTGGTGGCGGGCACCTGTAGCCCCAGCTACTTGGGAGGCTGAGGCAGGAGAATGGTGTGAACCTGGGAGGCGGAACTTGGAGAGAGCCGAGATCGTGCCACTGCACTCCAGCCTGGACGACAGAGCAAGACTCTGTCTCAAAAAATGATGATAATAATAATAATAATAATAATAATAAAGTTTCAAAGAATCTAATATAGTAGATTTTTAAATAATGTCCTACTAATGTAGGACAGATGTTTCAAGGAAACTGAATAAGGAGACATTATCCTGTATGAGGGAATAAGGGAAGGCTTTGCAGAGGAAATGGCATAAAATCCGGCTCTGAAGAGGTAATTCAAAATGTCCGTGGTGTTTTAGTTGCCCGTGGCTTCTGTAACAAGTTTCTACAATCTTGGTGGCTTAAAATAATATGAATTTATTCAGTTACAGTTCTGGAGGCCAGAGGTTCAAACACTAGTTTTACTGGGCTTGAGTCAAGGCATCAGTAGGGCTGGTTCCTTCTGGATATTCTAGGGGAGAAACAGTTTCCTTGCCTTTTCCAGCTTCTGGAGGCTTCCACATTCCTCAGCTTGTGACCCCTTCTTCCAATCACTCCAGCCTCTTGTTTCCATTATCACATTTCCTACCTCCTCTTTTGTAGTCAAATCTCCCTCTGCTTCCTTGTTATAAAGACTCCTGTGATTACATTTAGGGCCCACCTGGATTACCTAGGACGTTTTCTCCTTCTTAAGATCCTTAACTTGGCGGGGCACGGTGGCTCACACCTGTAATCCCAGCACTTTGGGAGGCCAAGGCAGGCGGTTCACCTGGGGTCGGGAGTTGGAGACCAACCTGACCAACATGGAGAAACCCCATCTCTACTAAAAATACAAAGTTAGCCAGGCATGGTAGTGCATACTTGTAATCCCAGCTACTTGGGAGGCTGAGGCAGGAGAATCACTTAAACCCGGGAGGCAGGAGGCAGAGGTTGTGGTGAGCCAAGATTGTGCCATTGCACTCCAGACTGGGCAACAAGAGCAAAACTCTGTCTCAAAAAAAAAAAAAAGAAAAGAAAAAGAAAAAACCCTTAACTTATTCACAACTGCAAAGTCCCTTTTGCCATCTAGGTTAACACTCACAGGTTCCGATAATTAGGACCTGGATATCTTGGAGGGTACCTATTTAGCCTAACATATCTGCCATGGTAGTATTCCCTGAGGTTTCCAATTGTGAAAAACAACTTGTACAATTGAGGGATGGTGAATCATTGGTCATATTTGGGGTATTGGGAAGGGAAGTAATGGGCTATACAGTTAGCAAGAACAATATATCACAGACTGGGTGGATTAAACGGCAGAGGTTTATTTCTCACAGTTCTGGAGTCTACAAGTCCAAGATCAAGCTGTTAGCGGGCTTATTTCTCCACAAGCCTCACTCCTGGGCTTGCATATTTCTGTCTTCTCTCCATGTCCTCGCATGGCCCTTTCTTGGTATATGCACGTCCCTGGCGTCTTTGCCTTCTTATATGGACACGAGTCATATCAGATAAGGGCCCACCCATATGACTTCAGTCAACCCTATCTCAACAGTCACATGCTGAGATTCCTGGGCTTAGAACTTCCAACATACATATTTGAAGGGGACACAATTCAGTCCCTAATAATTGGGATTAAGTTTTGAGTAACTTTGTGACCTGGCTAATGACCTTGATCTTGAAAGTTATAGTAAGCCAAAGGAGGCTTTTAAGGACTGGAGTGACAAAAATCAGATCGTTTGTTAGTTTTTTATATCAGTAACTGAAAATGGAAACAAGGAAGTAGTAACTTGCAGCAGGGAGAACAGGTAGAAGCCCGGTACAGTACCCAAGCAGGACATATAAAAGGAAAGGTGAGGCAAAGCGTGGTGGCTCACGCCTGTAATCCCAGCACTTTGAAAGGCCAAGGCGGGCAGATCTCTTGAGGTCAGGAGTTCAAGACCAGCCTGGCCAACATGGTGAAATTCCGTCTCTACTAAAAATACAAAAATTAGCCAGGCGTGGTGGTGGGCTCCTGTAATTCCAGCTACTGGGAGACTGAGGCACAAGAATCACTTGAACCCAGGAGCTGGAGGTTGCAGTGAGCCGAGATCATGCCACTGTACTCCAGCCTGGGCAACAGAGTGAGACTCCGTCCCCTAAAAAAAAGAAAAAAGAAAAAAAAAAAAAAAGGAAAGGTGATGTTTGCAGAATCCTAAGACAAGGGTAATAGATATAGCAGACTTTTGCCTGTTTTCTCACACCACAAACTCATGGAATCTTGAATAAAATATTATAACAAACTACTCTTTTTGCCACATAGCTGAATTTAAAACAAATGTCCAGATGCCAGAACTGAAGCAAGAAATCAGAGCCAGAATGATGAGAAGGGACTGCTGGCACCATGTGGATATCAGACCAGATATTGGACCTGTGGTCTGGGAGTATTGTAAAGTCACGTGAGAGATAGAACCACACCTATGGGCCCAAGGACCTCAAAGATCTGCCCAGCCTATAAAAAGGGGACTCGAAAAACTCTGACCTCTTATTCTGGGAAACCACAAGGAAGCCTGCTGACTATCCCGAAATGTAGATGGGGTGGGGATGGAGGGGGTGCACAGTAATCTTTAAGAAGTGAAATCACTATCTTTACTTGAAAATACCTTTTTAAAATCTAAATTTGAGTCAAGGAAATCTCAAACTGAGGGATTAACTCAAAAATTGCTCTAGGACTGTTGAAACCCCTACACCAAAAGGACTAAGAAATGCAAATAAAGAAAGAAGAAATAAGAACATTGGATGACCAAGCAACATCTGACTAACAGGAGAGTAAGAAGAGAGAATGGAGGAACACCTAGCCTCAAAGAAATAAATCAAGACATTTTCCCCAATCCAAAGAGCATGGGTTCCCAGATTGAAGGAGTCCACCATGTGCCCAGAATAATACATTTCAAACACTAGAGACCAAAATAATTTTTTACAAGTTTTCAGAAAGAAAACAACAGAACTCGTACATATAACCAGAATGGGTTTAGAGAGAGAGTATGTGTGTGTGCTTGTGTGTGGTGTATATATACACACACGTGTGTCAAAGAGAATCTTCATTTTCCAAAGTTCAAAGTCAATAAGTAATGCCTAAAACTGTGAAGTTAAGAAGTGGCAACGTATGCATATTACTTAGAAATATAGAGTAAAATACCAAAAGCGAAGCAAACAAACTCATCAGAAAGTATGGAAAGAGTTTGCACTGGGGTCTGGAATTGAGGATTAGTGTTCTTGTTCCTTACTGCTATTTCTAGACCCTAGTCCCTTCCTTCACCCTCAAAACCCCTGGCTCCTTTGAAGCAGGTGACATTAAATGACCATTTGTTCTCTCCTGTTTTGCAATCTCCTGTCCCCTGGTCACTTCTCTCAACCTCTGAAATTTTAGCACTGGCTCACTGTCTTTCCCTCCACTGTTCTCCTGCCATTATTCCTGAGAATTTCGATGCCCACACCCTGCCCGTCATTACCCTGACCTCATTGTTTCCTACACACTTTAAGTCTATACCTCCCTCCCCCACCTTCCATGGTCTGACCCTAGGACTTTCCAAAAATCTTAATGCCAAATACCTCACACTCTAAACTTCAAAATCTTAATGAATAAATATTCACTTTCATGTTCCAAATTACCTACTCTACCAAACCCACTTCAGTCTACCCACTTTTACTACCTATCGCCCTCTCTGGTCTCTCATTCCTCCTCACTCCTCATCCAGTTTAGATCCACCGTTGATGATCATAAAACTTTCTATATAACTTGTCTGTCTCCCCTCCCATCATGTTCTACTGGCAAATCCCAAAACCTATTTAATATTTATTGCTATATTTCATCAGTTAAATAGAACTATAGACAAAACAAAGCAATACAACACAAATGCATATAGACTGGTTTCATTTTAAATTTATGTTTATAATCTCAAGAAAATCTTCAGCACAGCCTGGAAATTCTGCATATTTCATTACTCAACTTGCTTGTCTGTTTTCTAAAATAATTATCTCAACTTGTCCTCTACTCTCCAAACTCCAAAATATTTTCTTTCTTTTCACTTTCAACTAATGGTGGCTCTTTTTTAGTTCACTCAAGTAAAAAACCAAAACAAAAAAACAATCAAAAGAGGCAGGTTTAGTTCAAATGCCAGTTTTGCTACTCACTACCTGAGTGAATTCTCTGAGCCAGTTACTTATTTTCTCTGGGGCTCAGTTTCCTCATCTGTACAAGGGGTAGATAATAGCAGTAGTGTCCAGTTATGAATGACACGTAGTTTCTGCTAATGTAATGTTCACTTAACGAGGGAAACCGAAAACTGTCTACTTTACACTATCAAATCTTCTGTCCTACCCAGGTATTTGAATATATCTGTGAACTCTGCCTTCCTTTCTTGTGCATACAGTTGTTTCAGGACCCCCATGAATACTAAAATCTGAGGATGCTCAAGTTCCTGACATAAAATGGAGTAGCATTTGCATAGAACCAATGCACATCCTCCATATACTCTAAGTCATCTCTAGATTATTTACTTTAAATCATCTCTGGATTATTTAAAATATAATACAATGTAAATTCTATGTAAACAATTGTTGTACCATACTGTTTTTAATTTGCATTATTTATATTTTTGTTGTTGCATTGTTATTTTTTATTGTTCTTCCCCCTGGATTTTTTTGATCTGTGGTTGGTTGAATCCACAAATGTGGAACCCACAGACAGGGAGGCCGACTATGTCCTTAGCCCCCGCCTCCCCTTCTGAAACAGTGGGTGAACTGTTCCTGAATCTCATTTCAACCCCTCTATATGAGTGTTGGATCTCCTTCCCTCTCCCCTATTCAATGACTTTGTTCCTGCAGTTGTTCCTCTTCAATCATATCCTATGGAATTTCCTCTGTCTACTAAGTTATACCATCAGCATATAAACGTTATGTATTATCTTCCATCTTAAAGGTCCTTCAGTGCTGTCATGGCTTAGTTCTTGATTCCTTTTTTAAGAAAACTCCTTGAAAGAGCTGTTTACGTTTGCTTTTATTTTCCCGACCTCTGCCCCCTTTTTTGAGTGAATTGGAATCTCACTCTGTCACCCAGGCTGGACTACAGTGGCATAATTATAGCTCACTGCAGCCTTGAACGCCCAGGCAGTCCTCACACCTCAGCCCCCCAAGTAGTTGGAACTACAGGCATGTACCATCACACCTAGCTAAGAGTTTTTATTTTTATTTTTAGAGATGAGGGTGGTCTCATGATGTTGCCCAGGCTGGTCTTGAACTCCTGGCATCAAGCAAAACTCCTGCCTCAGCCTCCTGAGTCAATGGGATTACAGATGTGAGCCACCACACCTAGCCTTTTCATCACTCTTTTGAACCCATTGCAATACCTCTTGTCAAAGTTTATCTTTCCAAATTCTCAAGTACTCTGCCCTTCTTCATTAAACATCTCAGAAGCATTATTCTTCTAGGCTTCTAGACTTCATTTGGTGTCTTAGCCAGCTTGGGCTGCCAAAACAAACACAAACAACTAGGTGCCTTACACAACAGAAATTTATTTTCTTACAGTTCTGAAGGCTGGGAAGTCCAAGATCAAGGTGGTGGCCAATGCTTTTTCTGGATTTTGGAGCAGACTGCTTTGGTTTAAATCTAGACTCCGTCATTTACAAACTTTGTGACCCTGACCAAGACAGTTAACTACCAGTGCCTTGGTGTCCTCATCTGTAAAATGGGGATCATGATAATATACTCATTTAAGTTAAATAAGTTAAAATATGCAAAAAGCTAAGAATGTTGTCTGGTACAATTTAAGTTCTTAATAAATGTTAGCTATTACTTTATGATTCATATTTGTCCATTTTCCTCTTTAGAAAAAAAAAAAAACTCCCAGAAGACAAGAACTTTCTGCCCTGCTGAAATACATGGTATCTCCAGTGCCTAGACCACTGCCTGATATTCCACATATATTTGTTAAAAGAACAAAGGTGTAAATGAGTGCTTTCTTGGAAGGATTTTAAAACGTGTGGTTTACAGTGTCAAATGCTTCAGACAGCTTGGCAGATAAGGACGTAAGCCATTTGTCAATCAAAAGGTCATTGGTGATTTGAGTAGTAGTAATAGCCATAATTTACTGAGCCACCTTGCTAAGTGTGCTAATCTACACAATGGTCCTACAAGGAAGCCATTATTATCACCATTTTATAGATGGAGAGCGTATCTGCAGCTCTATGGGACAGAAGTAAGACTGAAAAGGATTGAGAGATGAACGGGAATTAAAGATACACTATCAACTCTATTATAACTGGCAGCTTGTTTAAATATATTAACCTATAGGAGAAGAAATAAATTCAACTGGCCAGAGACATAATTTGTCAACCACTCTTATCAAAAAAACCAAGTATGAGTGAGTCAAGGGGAATGGAGTGAGAAAAATATAAAATAAATGAAGGTTCTCAGCTTTATACATATTTTTTTTTCTCCTGGGTCATTTTAAATGCTACCTTGGTAATGATCTTCATTTAATTTATTCTTCAGATCCTCTGTGCTTGAAAATACAGAGATGATATGAAAAAAAAAGTCACCATCTTTGTAAGAATCTTACTGAATAAGAAAGATCTTTTTTACAAATTAAACTGCTGAAGAGATTTCAACTGGGTTTGGAATCCAGATCAACTCAATCTCTGGCAGAATATTTTCAGGAAAAAAAAAAACCCTGGAACATTTGAGAATTACAGTTCTGTACCTCTGCAAAGATTTGTATATTCTTCCATTGGTGGGTGAGGGGGCAGGAGGAAATTCTCTGGGTAGGCTTACAAAAACAAGATTTTTAAGCGCTTCTGATGATTCTGAGCTACATTTCTGGACTGGAATTTGAGTGTTTACGTCGCTGTTTCTTGGATAATTAAAGAGGTATGTGTCTGTTTCAGAGAATCTGCTCTCTTCTACCTTGCTTTATTTGGGTGGTGTGACCTTGGCTCTTCTGTATATTCATCCTGCCTGTCACTTTTCAGAACCGAGTAAGGCAGCACCAGTAATAGTCACTTTGGACACAGAATATTTAAAAGTTTTGTGTTTTATTTTAAATTGGAGGCTCAAATATCATTGTTTATTTTCAGGGCAGCAAAGGACCATAAGCAATTCTCCAATGGTGAAGATCGACCCCAGTCATGTAAAAACACGTACGTATTCATTAATGTGTACATTTCTTTTTCTGTGTTAGTTTTCCCAAGCTATTTCCCTCCTCAGCCCAGTCTCCCTGCTTCTGTTTTTTATTAGCTTTTCATAGTTCTATTTTCTTACTCCTTAGTCTTAGCTCTTTGGCTGTGGATAAAGATGGCTGGTAGGGATTGGCAGGGGCCAATGAGTAGTTAGAAAATGTGATTTGCCAAAATAAGAATGATAATTTCATTATGCATATCTCACTTGGAGTATTGAAAATTAAAGCTTAAAAATAAAGCTAATCCCCTGTCTTTTTTTTTTTAAAGCTTCCGTATTGCTGAGGTGACCTTTTCTGTTCTGTCCTGTGCTAACATCACCATATGAATTTTAAGTTCTCCCCTGCCCCTGTGGCTATGTTAGGTTGATAGTTAAGCCAGGACTCTGTCCTGAAGCACTGTGCTGTTCTCAGCTCCAGGCAGCAAAGGGTTAACAGAGTCTCCAGTGCCTACCGAGTTGTAAAAGGAACTGCTGAAGCTGATCAATGACCACTGTTAAGACCTGGAAACCAATTATAAACCTGAAATTTGTGATGAACAAAGCCCTGAAACACTGGGATGAAAACTACTGAATTAGTCCAGTTCATTAAAATCATTAATAGTCATGAAATGAAAACCACCAGAGTCCAAAAAGGCTTAATGCTCTATCCATATTAATTAGATGGGAGCAAATCTGAACTGAAAAGCAGCACATGCTTTGTAGAATTAGCAATTGGTCTCTACAGACTACACAGATCTCTATTAAAATTCAGTTTAATTAAAATTGATCACGTTAAGAAACTGATGTGGTTAATTAACTGAATTCCTGGACTTCTTTTCATACGTTTCACAGGCGCCTTTTACACTGCGTTTGTGGGTGACACTTCATGTTGCACAGAGCAAATCCAATTGCAAAGGTTAACTCTCTGTGTTCCTGGAGAGGATACAGACCACGGAGGAGGGGTGTGTGGGGGAGAGGCAGAAGAAACCCGCTTTATGGAGAGTCAAACCCCAGGTTAAACTTGAGGAAACTCCTTTAGAAAATTTGTCCCATTCATGGTGGATAAATGAATGTGTATCTATCAGTGACAAAGAGGTTCTCTCTCCCAAGCTGCCACCTCTAGAGGAACTGAGAAGTATTGCCAAAAATAAGAGTCACTCTAACTTCAAAAGGAGGACAGTAGGCATTTGGTTAAGTGTGGCTAATTCTGTACCAGGATTGCTGAAGGCATCTTAGTTTTATTGCCTACACACCTCCTTGTTCTGTTTGGCTCAGAAGTCATTTTCTGTTTTTTCCGTCTGCAGAATGGTATACTGACATTTCTAGATTTCACCAAGGCCTAAAATAACAGCAATAGTCCCTCTGCCTTGAGGCTGCTCTGCTGCTCCTGGCCAAGTCTACCCCCCTTCCCAAGTCCACCAAGCATATTGCTGCTAACGCAGCCTTCCCAAGACTGCAGCTTATGGTGTCACCGGCCTGCTCAGGACTCTGTAATGACTGTGTGCTATATACAGGACAAATTCTAAACTCCATGGATTTAAATCCAGAGCTCTTCATCATCTACCCCAACATACTCTTACTTCCTTTGCCTCTTAGAGATGTACTTTGCCTATGAGATCTATTTCTTTGTTTCAGCCACACTGGCCAATTTACAAACTTTGAGTCCCTTATTTGCTTTACAGCCTGCACTCCTTTTTCCTCTTAGAAATTTGTTTCAATCCAGCCCATCCTTAAGAATTCCACTGGAATCCCATCACCATAAAGTAATTCTGTCATCAACCCTCACAAAAGATCTCTCCTTCCCCTGCCCTCTGGTAGTTGGTATGATCTCAACTGTCAATTGGCTCTTGTTCCCCAAAATCTGAAATAATTACTCACATGTACACATCAGCTCCTAAACATTTTAAGTTCTTATCAGGCAGAGGCCATATCTTATATTTCACTGAATCTGAACATGCGCCAGACACAATGTGTGCTCCATAAATGTTGTTTACAATGAGGGAATAACTTATCCTTTGATAGCTTCTGGCAATTTTTCTCAGCGAGGGAGGTTTGAGCTTCGTCTTATGATGAACTGGCAAAAAAATTTGAATGTGACATGCTAATAGCAATAATAATAATAGATGATATTTATTAAACTCACATGTCAAACATTGTGCTAAAGACCTATTGTTTTACAAGGAAATCACCCTTTCCCTCTGTTTGTTGTCAGAGTTGCAAGTGCCTCTCCCAGCGTTTTGTTCATCTTTTGCATCTAGGACTGTGTCTTCCATCTCGTTTCTAATTCTTGTATATTTTTGTTCCTTTTTTCTAACATAATTTGGCAATTCTTTTTGGGTTTTGTTGTTGTTGTTGCTTGTTGTTCTTGTTGTTTTTCAGGTATTTTCAAACAACCAGCTTTGAATATACACATTCTTTGTTTTTATCTTCATTGACTCAAATTTAGCTTTTAATTTGCTATTTCTTGGCAGATTTCGTTGCTTGTTGTTTTTCTTTCTTTCTTTCTTTTTTTTTTTTTTTTTTGAGACACAGTCTTGGTCCGTCACCAGGCTGGAGTGGAGTGGCACAATCTCGGCTCACTGCAACCTCCGCCTCCTGCCTCAGCCTTCTGAGTAGCTGGGACTACAGGCACCTGCCACCATGCCCAGCTAATTTTTTGTATTTTTAGTAGAGACGGGATTTGTTGGCCAGGATGGTCTCGATGTCCTGACCTCATGATCCACCCACCTCAGCCTCCCAGAGTGCTGAGATTACAGGCATGAGCCACTGCGCCCGGCCGTTGTTTTTTTTTTCTAATGCCTTAATAAGTTAAAAGTTTCTTAGTAAGTATTTAATTCCATTTTCCCCCTTTTCCCTTTGTTGGTCTTTCTTCCTTAATAATAAAGGCATTAAGAACATACATTTTATCATAAACACAATTTTTATTGTGATGCTTAGATTTTTGATGAAGTATTTTTATTTTCACTTATTTCTATAAATCATTTATAATTTCAGATTTGATTTCTTTTTTTGATCTAACGTCTTTTATAAATTATTATTAGAGACTATTTTAAAAATTACTTATTTTTAACTTCATTATATTTTGATTAGAGAGCATGCCCTATATGGTTTCTTTGGTCAAGTATGGAATTAAGTCTTATAAATATTCCACAGATATGTACACAATGTATTTTCCTATTTAAAAGTTACAGAATTATATTCTTCAATTATTTTATTTATATCCTTATTTTTTGGTCTAATTCAACTGTCCAGTTCTGAAATAGTCATATTAAAGAGTACCACTATATTGTATTTTAATTAAACTCTACTTATCTATGCATTTTTGCTTTCTGTTCAGCTGCTACGTATTTTGATACAAAAAGGTGTAAAACAATTATATCTTATTTTTCTTAGAATTTTTTAATCCAAATTCATTATCTGATTTTAATATTATCACTCTTTTTTTCTTATTGTTTGGCTTTGCCTGCTATCTCTTTGCCCATTCATTCACTCATAAATTTCTTTTCATTTTTGGGGGTCATATTTTTCTTCAAAATATATTTGTATGTAGGCTTTTTTAAAGGAAATGTATGCTACTTCTTGTTATAAAAGATTTTTTGAAAACATACACTATATCTTGTTATAAAACATATTTGAGACAATTTACAAACTATATAGACTCTCAAAAAAATAAAATAAGATAGCTGGAAAAATTAGTGCTGGTAGAAATAAAAAAGAAAGTTCTGCCGGGCACGGTGGCTCATCCATGTAATCCCAGCACTTTGGGAGGCCAAGGCGGGTGGATCATCTGAGGTCAGGAGTTCAAGACCAGCCTGGCCAACATGGTGAAACCCGTCTTTACTAAAAATACAAAAATTAGCCAGGCGTAGTGGCGGGCCCCTGTAGTCCCACCTACTCAGGAGGCTGAGGCAGGAGAATTGCTTGAACTCGGGAAGTGGAGGTTGCAGTGAGCTAAGATCGTGCCACTGCACTCCAGCCTGGGCGACAGAGCAAGACTGTGTCTCAAAAAAAAAAAAAAGAAAGTTCCAAGCCAAAATGTTTGCTCAACTCTAAAATGCAAATTTTATGACACACATTTTGTATTTATTTTTATTAATTACTATTTCCTTTTTTCAAATCTTACTGTCCTTTGTATTTCAGTCATTGCAAAACTAAAAACAAGATTAATTAATGACTGGCTGTATCCATATGCCTCTCTCTTTTGTTCTTTGTTTCTGCTGATTTGATCAAGCGAACTATTCCAATCCCTCTACTCCCACCACATCAATTAATTTAGAAAGGCAATTAACTGTATTTACCATTTCATTAGTGGTTAATTTCCCTTTCCTAAAATTCCTCATCAAACTAATATTTTTCTATTATTATATGAAAATAAAATACAACTCTTCTCTTCCCAACCTCCCTCAAGATTTATTGCCTCATTGGTTTGTCTGCTATTACTTATTCTTTCCCCCATCTCTACCACTTTGACAACTCAGGTTTTGCTAAGACAGTTAAAAACTTTTGGTTTCAATCCATCATTAGGTCTTCCCTTGAAATATGGCTCTTTCTTTTAAGAATACTTACATAGCTCACATATTATGCTCTCAGGCAATTTTTCTAGCTACATATTTTGCAAGTTTTATGGTTTCTTCTCCTCTTCCACTTCTCCTGTTAAGATCTCTGTTCTGACTCATTATTATTTTTTTTATAAAAGTCTTTTCCTCAAAAGGGGCTTATGGGAACTTGATTCCTCGAACTTTTTCTTATATACAAACATCTTTCCAACCTCCTGGTAGTTGAGTGACTTTCAGTCCTTCCCTATCAATCTTCTGCAGGTGTTATTCCATAGTCAGAATGATTGTTTTCCTTTGTAAATCATTGTCATTTCCTCTCAAATAATACTTAGAATTAAGTAAGGTATTTTACTTTCCAGACTCAAGTTTTTTTTAGCATAGAGAATTTAAATATTGCCATCTATTTATTTTTCTCCTTCTAGATCTTCTATTACTCACATTTAGTTATCTTCCAAGTCTTCTACATTGTCCTTCATGATTCCCATCTTTTTGTATTTTTTGCAAGGTTTTGAAATACATATTCCATTTGATATTCTTGGATACTAATGAATTCTGTCATTCAATTTACAAATTAAACTTCTGTTTCAAACATAGAATCTTCTAGGTATTTGTATTACTTTTTTTGTATTGTTTTAGTAATTACCTGCCTCTTTTAACAGCTTTATTTAATCAAGAACCACCTTTTCCAGATGTTCTGAGTGTTCTTTCTCTGGCTGCTAGGATCCCTTACGTGGATTATAGTTTTCCTTTGCCTACTCTGCAGGCTCAGGCTGAGTTTATGGGGTACTCACTCTTGAGGGTGGTGAGGCGCAAATATATCTCTGCCAGTGCGGCGAGTTCAGTACCAGCTGATAGGTGGTAGTAATTACCTGATTGAGGCTCTCAAGGGAAGGGGAAAAGGAAATCCCCTTGAAATATTTTTCTGGGCACCACTCTTCTTCTTGGAATGCCACAGAGTTCCAAAACCTACGTTCTCTCCAAGACTATGGTACACTGATTTTTGCTCCAAAATTCTCTACAACTCCAGGCTGTGTCCAAAGCCAAAAGAAAAAGTCTGACATCAACTTTCTGTGTCTGGATCCACAGAGCCCAAAGTCATATTCTTACCCTTCAATGCCCTGCCTGCCTGCCAGATAGACTCAGGAGAGGAAGACTGCTGTTAGGAATTGAGATTTGAGAACAGCAGGGACACATTCAGGGTGCCATATTCCCAACATTCCCCTAAATACTTTTTAAATGTTTTAAAATGTGAAATATAACACTCATACAGAAATGTGCATAAATCATAAATATCAGTGTAATAAATGATTATAAAATAAATACTTGTGTAACTAATACCAAAGTCAAGACATAGAATATTGGCAGCAACCCAGAAAATGCCTGTGTCTTCCTCATTTAACACAATACTCTCTTTGCCCTTCTAAAGGTAAATCACTATTCTGTCTTTTATAGTAATTAGTTTTCTTGCCTCTTTAAAAAGGTCTTACATTTTTGTATGCTCAAAAAATGGAGTTTAGTTTTTACTTTTGAACTTTATATATATGGCATCTTATAGTATGTACTCTTTTGTGTTTTGCTCCTTTTTGAACTTTATATATATGGTATCATACAGGATGTATTCTTTTATGTTTGCTTATAATATTTATTCATCTATCTATAGCTCATTCCTTTTTATTCACTATAGAGTATTCCATTGAATGGATATGCCACATGTCTTTGCTTATTCTCCCATCAATGAACATTTGGGTTGTTTCTAGTTTAATGCTATTTCAAAATATTGCTACTGTAAACATACACAGTGTGTGCTCTGATTCACATGTACACAAGTTTATAACATATAATTAGGAGTAGAATTGATGTGATGGCTAATAAGGCTGCATATCTTTGATGTTATTAGATAACGCCAAGCTGTTTCCAAAGAGGTTGTATCAATTTTATTTATTTATTTATTTATTTATTTTTGAGCTGGAGTCTCGCTTGGTCACCCAGGCTGGAGTGCAGTGGCACGATCTTAGCTCACTGCAACCTCCGCCTCCTGGGTTCAAGCGATTCTCCTGCCTCAGACCCCCGAGTAGCTGGGACTACAGGTGCGTGCCACCACGGCTGGCTAATTTTTGTGTTTTTAGTAGAGATGGGGTTTCACCATATTAGCCATGCTGGTCTTGAACTCCTGACCTCGTGATCCACCCACCTCAGCCTCCCAAAGTGCTGGGATTACAAGCGTGAGCCACCATGCCCAGCCTGGTTGTATCAATTTATAACAACGAGCCATTTATCACAGTTTATTAGCAGTTTATTAGTGTTCTCATTTTTTCATGTCCTTTACCAATCCGTTGAATATGTAATGTTATCTCATTTTGGTTTTAATTCACATTTCCCTGATTAGAAGTTAAGCATCATTTTTTATAAAAGAAAAAACAAACAATAAAGAGTCATTTACAAAATGAGAGTGAAAGTAACATAGCTGCACTCAATGTTTCATAAAGTGGTAATTCTCCTAACAATCTTGATTTAGGTAGTCTATTACAATCACCCCCATTTTACAGATGGGGGAGTTTTAGTTTTAATGAAGACATACAGCTAGTCAATAGCAAAGCTGAGATTTGAACCAGGCTTGAACTTCTCAGCACTGAGTCCCCTATGCTTTAAGAAGCTAACTATAACAGCCATGTGGATAACAGTGTAGAGACAGGAGTTACTAATAGTAGTGAGAGCAGGCAGGAGCCTGTAGTACAGTATTTGATGAAAATGTTCAGAGGGTGAGTGAGTCACACAGGTGTAACTTTAAAGCTTGTTAGCTAAGGCCTTAGGAGGAAAAAAGCAAAATGTCATATGAATTGAGATTAGGCTTAATTATGCCGTAAAGATTTGAGTACTCATGGAACCCAATTGAGAATTATTTTTAATTTTAAGACTCAAAGCTATTTTTTTTTAATTTTTTCCTGGTATAAAAAGGGATATATTTTATCTCTGATATAAGGGATAAAAATCACCCTTAATCTCACTACCCAGAGATAACCACTATTAATATTTTATTTTATCCTTCCAGCATTTTTGAGCCTGAAGAGATATATTATATTTAAACAAAGTTGAGATCAGCGTGTATATGCTGTTTTATAACCTATTTGTCCCAAACAAAATATTGAGAACAACTTTCCTTGTCATTAAAATTTCTTTTGCACATGACTTTTAGCAGTAGTTCATTTTAAAGTTGTATCATAATTACTTTTTAAGTATTTCAAATACTACATGATAAGAATATTTGTAGATAAATCTTTGCCACACTTCTGATTATTATTTCCTTATGTAACATTTCTAAACGTGTGTGTGACTGTGGATCATAGTTCATAAACTCAGGTTTGCAAAATATATCTCACCTGTGTAATTTCCTTAGATCAATTCAAATTTGATCCCAAATTCCCTTATCTTAAACCCTTAAGATTTTTTAAGAATCTGAGAAGCTTATATGGTGCCTGGAATGAAGAGGAAAGATGCAATCACTCTAAGCATCTATAGTCAGCATGGACAACAGCAGTGGTCAAACTCCTGTTGTCCCTCAAAGTCATGTAACTCTCAGCTTGTATACCACTTGTGGGACAGGTTGACTTTCCAAGCCTGAGAACCTCAGTGCCCATTATCCAGTCTCTCCAAGGACACCACACAACTGGTCCTCTCTGAGTTGCTGCCACCACCCTGAGTGCTCCCAAGATAAGGACATGGGTCAGTGACCGCTGCCTCCCTACCCAGTCTGGGAGAGAAAAGCCCTGTCCCTACCTTTGCATGTTCTCCAAGAGCCCTTTTCTCTCCATTTCTCTCTGGGATGATTTTAGGCTTTTATGTGAGATAGGACACATTCTTGACTCTAAGCAGCTTCAGCTTTCCAATGTGTAACAAACTTCTCTTGGGACAAAGGAACTTAAGGTTTTGCCACCTTCTTGAAAATAAGGAGGAGAAAATATATAAGAATACCACCAGTCAAATTACCTGTGATCCTTTTCTTTATATGTTTCTAATATGTCCTCCTGTAGTGTCTAAAACACTTGCCAAGGTGATTTCTGACTAGTGAAATAGATAGAAGGTAAAAAGTTGAAAGATACCATATAAAAGGCATGGATAGAGTCTAATGAGATTAAAAGAACTCAGGGCATCAGCTCACAGAGGAAAAAACTAAAGCTTGAGAATGGGTAAATATTAGACATTTTAAGCAGAGAACAGAGGGATGAACAAAGGCACAAAAGTGGGAAATCGGAAGTGTGTTAAAAGCCTTGCTACTCAAAGTTTGGTCCATGGACCAGCAGCACTGGCGTGACCTAGCAACTCATTAGAAATGCAGACTCTTAGGACTTGCTTCTGACTGACTGAATCAGAATCTTCATTGTGACAGAACCACAGTGATTTGTAGGCAATTACAGTTTGAGCAGCTCAGCTTTACAGCAGTGGTTCTCAACATGTGATTCCCAGATCAGCAGTATCACCTCCCCCTGGGAACATGATCCCAGGAGTTTGAGAGCAACCTGGGAAACATACAAGACCCCATCTCTACAAAACAAATTTTAAAAATAGGCATGGTGGCATGTACCTGTAGTCCCACCTACTCTGGAGGCTGAGGCAGGAGGATCTCTTGAGCCCAGGAGTTGAGGTTTCAGTGAGCGTGATAGTGCCGCTGCACTCCAGCATAGGTAGCAGAGTGAGACCCTGTCTTTTAGAAAAAAGAAAAAGAAATGCAAATTCTTGAGCCCTATCTCAGACCTACTGAATGAATATCTCTGGAGGGAAGGCCCAGCAATGCATTTTAACAAGTCTTACAAAGTGATTCTGACACATGTACAAAGTTGACAACCACTGCTCCAGAGCAGAGTTGAAAAAGGCTTCATGGAAAAGGGCCAGATACTAAATATTTTAAGCGGGCTTTGTGGGCAATAAGGTCTCTGTCATAACTTCTCAACTCTGCCAATGTAGCAAGAAAGTACCAATAGGCAGTCTGTAAAAGAATGAGCATGGCTCTACTCCATTGAAACTTTATTCACAAAACACTGGAGGACTTGATTTGGTCCATGGGTCATATTTGCCAACCCCTTTTCTAGAGTACAGATTTTCAAACTTGCATGTGCATTAGAATCACTTGGAGAGCTTCATAAATCTTGATATTCGGACCGTATCCCACACCAATTAACCAGCATCTCTACAGTTGGCTGAGGGATCGATATTTTTAAAAACTCTCCAAGTGTTTTAAACTCTCTCTGGAATGCACAGCAAGGGATGAGACCAGATGCTACAGAACGGAATAGAAGGCCTGAGAAAGAAAGATGGGTTGAGAGGGTCAAGGGAGATTCAGCAGGAAAGGTGGCTAGAAGCCTGAAGGTAGAGGCCTTTCAAATTGGGATGTTCCCCAAGCACGACAATCCCGTGGGGATTTGAATATCCATACAGGTCAGGGCACACATTTTCATTTTTTTCTTAACCACATGTTACTGCATTTAAACCACAATATTAAAAATGAGAAACGTCTGAACAAGGAGTAGGCCAAAAGGCTTTTAATTCCCCAACAGCAAAACCCTGTTAATACCTTGCCCTGTGTCAGCAAAATAATTGTGGTTCAAATGAATATAAAACACTTCCATTCAATCTTCTCCCTCCTCCCTAAGGCAAATGCTTTCTTATCATGGAGAAACAGTACTCCTCAAACTGTCAGACTGCATCAGGGGAGTTAAACAAGAATTATAAAGCCAGGCTAAATCAAGGCATCAGCTAGGAGGGCAAAATTCTCCTGCAGGTGCACTTTCTTTAGCCCCTTCCCTGACCAGAGCCTTCACTAACGCTGCTGTGGAAATGCTGAGAGAGAGTGAGCTGAGACTTTTGCAAGAAGATGAATTAAATTTCTTTGGTTGCAAGTAGCAGAAGCAGTCACTGGCTAAGTCAAGTGAAAAAAAAAAAAAAGTTAACTGAAAAGATCTGTGGTGGCCCAGACAATAAAAGGAGACGCTAAAGAACTGGTCTTGGGAAGGATGGAACCATAGCGGATCTGAGCCTTTGTAATAGGAGCTGTGCAAGGTCTCTTCATGGGGCTGCCTTCTCTATGGGAACTCTGCCTACTTTCTGCTCTAGAGTCCCACCATCTAAGGTGCCCTGTCCAAGAAGAGAACATCTGATTGGCCAAGCATGGGCCCCAAGACCTTAATAAACAGTCCCACCTTGATTGATGGTTCTCCAAAGTCTATGGAATTTTATTGCCACAAGAAGGAAGAATAGATGCTAGGAAGGTAAAAATAGCAGATGTCCATTACGGAGAATAATAATCAATATTTTTTAAACAATGTTAAACAATGCATCTAGAGACTCAAACAGGGTTTGTCACATATTGATCATGGGACTGGGCACACAATCTCTTACAATCCCCAAAGGAGAACGCTTATCTAGTCATAGGCATTGGGTCAAGAAAAACTTAAAAATACAACCCCCTTTTTTACAGGGGAGAAAATGAAGGATGAGTGAATAACTTTTCCAAGCCTTTTCCTATTCATGTTTAATGTTATTCATGAAAAGTGTACAATCAGATAAGAGTCCAAGCTGGACCCTTCATCCAGAGTATTCTGCCTGTGGTTGTGAAAGTCAGTGTTTTTTAATTTCCTTGAAGACTCTGTGCATGCATCATGTTTGCTCTTTTAAAGATGAGAAATAACAGTATTTCACATTTGTCCAGGGGTTCTTATTTAAAAAGCACCACTGGCCAGGCACAGTGGCTCACACCTGTAATCCCAGCACTTTGGGAGGCCAAGGCGGGCAGATCACCTGAGGTCAGGAGTTCGAGACCAGCTTGGCCAATAGTGAAACCCCATCTCTACTAAAACCCCATCTCTACTAAACCCCATCTCTACTAAACCCCATCTCTGCTAAAAAAATACAAAAATGAAACCCCATCTCTACTAAAAAAATACAAAAATTAGCTGGGCATGGTGATGCACAGCTGTAGCTAGACTACAGCAGGAGAATTGCTTAAACCTGGGAGACGGAGGTTGCAGTGAGCCAAGATCGCACCACTGCACCCCAGCCTGGGGGACAGAGACTCCATCTCTCAAAAAAAAAAAACAAAAACAAAAAGCACCACTTCCTAGGCCCCATATTTCAGAGATTCTGATTCAATAGGCCTGGGTTAAGACCCAGGAAGCTGCTTTTTCACACAAGTACCTATATACCATTGGTGTGTACAATGCATTTTGAACAACAGTGTGGTCCCACGCTCAAGTGTTTGCAGAGACCAGAGAGGTCATGTGAGTAAAGCCAGGAGAGGATAAGAAAACGAAAAGAAGTGAGGATGGTGACTTGGGAAGTACATGTACTGTCTAAGGGTACTTGGACTCCATCTGTTTTCAAGCACCCTGCAGGCTAAAGAAAACCTTACCATAGGACAAGTTTTATTCTCATAGATTCTATAGGTTGTGAGTGCTGTTAGCGCTTTCACATGAATTTTATCACTCAATGAACTTCTAAGATGGGAAAAAAATTATTATTATGAACACGTTTTCATGAATAAAAAGGGGGAGGTTTAGAGGAGCTCCCCTAAGGCTTCCTGCCATCTGCCAAATTTGAACACAAATCTAATTTCTAAACTGAGGTGCTTTGCAAAACCGCAAGTAATGCACCCCTGTTTATTTTTTTAACTCCTCTCTGTCATGTGGCCTGCATAAACAACATTCCTTTCAAATGTGATTATGTCTGTTCAATCATAAATAGGGCAGAAAAAAAGCCTAGCTGGTAATTTTTTTAAATATGTGAAAAGCACGCAAAACAAGCAGAATCTTCAGGATTTCAAATAGTGATACAAAGCCTGGCAGGTCATTATGTAAAATTACTACAAGCCTCTTGAAGATTGACCCAGTTTACATAGTTTTCTTCATTTTATCCAATAAAGTTAAAATATATTATTCTCATATTACAGTTGGATGATTTAGAAACACAAAATATGTTTGGCACAGATTCATAGTTCCTTAGTAAAACAAAAGACAAAGTCCCCGCAATAGTTAGAAAGTTAATTATTTATCTTGGCCAAAGACTCTGACTGTTGCCATGACACAGATTAAAACAGCACTTTTCAAATAAGGTGGTAGTTATTTCATGTCAGGCTTTGAAAGTGCTGGGCTGAGTCCCTCTTTCAGTAATTGGAAATTCTGGACCTATCTTACTCAACACTTCAAACCCTTGTAGTATTTCTATATGATGTTGGAGTTTGAGAACAGAATTAGGACTAGGTTAGAGGTTAACTGTGTAACATCAGTCTTTCACAAAACAAAGCTTAGTTCAGGGAACATGCCTTGACCTACCTTAACCTAAAATCTGTGTGATAATGAACCAAGTTATAACAAGGCTTTACAGTACATGGAAGACCTTTTTTGGACATTAGAACCACTCAAAGGAGGAGAGAGAAATACAGTCCCTTCTGGTTATAAGGGGATATACTTGTGGTTTTAATTGTTACCCAATTAAATGAGGTTAGATATTTACAAAAATACATTAAAATAAGGAAAATTTTATAACAAAGGAGACAGAAACTAAGTTATTGTCTACAATATGTAAAGAGTGCTTAAAAATCAATAAAAATTAAAAATCAACCAACTACAAAGATGGTAAAAGGATATTGACAATTCATAAAAGAAGAAATCAAACACCCAATAAATGCATAAAACACATAAAAAATTCTTTTACTAAGAACAAAACAAATGCACATTAAAACAGAAATAAGATAAAAATTGTCACCTATCAAATTAGTAAATATTTAAATATTAAGTATTATTAAATATTAAATTTTATTAAATATTTAAAAATATTTAAATATTTTTAAATGATACTTAAAAGTGGAAAGTATGCAGTGAAACAAGGATTCTGAAATAATGCATGTGAAAGTGAAATTTCATACAATAATTCTGGAAAGCAATTTGGCATATTATATCAAAATGGTAAATGTTTCCTTACCTGTATAAACATATTAAAAGTAAAATATTAGAAGTGCAGTCCAATATTGGTTTCTAATAAGGTATATTTATTATAGTTTTATTGTAATTTTTTTTGTAATAGAAAATTGGATGATCCTCAAATGTCCAATAAGAGGATTGGTTAAACAGTCCAGGGCTATTTGGAGATAGGGAAAAACCAAAATGTGTTTCCTACTCTCTTTCACACCAACCAAGCAATTCTGACACTAGATGTGTATCTGTTGGGGGTAGTCTCTCCACGCACCAACGAGTTCTCCAGCAGGCACCATCTGGGTGTTCTCTAATTCAAGTCAATTCTTACACTATCTACCTGGAGTTAGTAACAGATCCCACAAGTTGAGGGCTCAGTCCTACAAGACTGTACCCTGCTTTAGGTGCCCGTTGCAAGTAGTAGTAGTTGTCACCTCTGCTTCTGATGGACTGGCTATGAATTCAAGGTTCTAACAAACCCCTTCTTGGGTTTGATTAATTTGCTACAGGTCCTCACCGAACCCAGGGAAACAATTTACTTGTGTTGACCTATTTGTTATGAAGGATAGAACAGCCAGATGGAAGAGATGCACAGGACAAAGCATATGAGAAGGGACATGAAGCTTCCAACCATGTACAACCAGAATAACACCCTCCAGGCACCTACACATATTCTGCTATCTGAAAGCTCCCTGATCCTAGTCCTTTTGGGATTTATAGAGGTTTCATTACTAGGCACAATTGATTACATCATTGGCCATTGGTGATCATCTCAAGCTTCAGCCCCTTACTTCTTTTCAGAGGTTGGGGTTAAGGCTGAAAATCCCAACTCTCTAATCATCTCTTGGTCTTCTCAGTAACAAGCCCCCATCCTGAAGCTATCTAGGGGACCCCAGCCACCAGTCATCTTATTAGCATATAAAAGACACTTATCATTCCAGAGATTTTAATCATTTTAGGAGCTGCATGTCAGGAAACAAAAACAAAGACCAAATATATATTTTACAGTATCACAAGGACATATCCTTATGATGAAATATCATGCATTCATTTCAAACATCAGCTTGCCAAGAATATTTAACTTTTTGGAAAAATTTTAATGAGTGAAAAAGGAAGGATTCAAAATGGAATCTGTGGAATAATCTTAATTTTATTTAAAATATATGTTCTGTATTAGTCTACTTGGGCTGCCATAAGAGAATATCAGAGACTGGTGGATTAAACAATAGACATTTATTTTCTTACAGTTCTGGAGGTTAGAAGTCCAAGATCAAGGTGACAGCCACATTGGTTTTTGGTGAGGCCTCACTTCCTGGTTTGCAGATGACTGCCTTCTTGCTGTGTCCTCGCATGACCTTTTCTCTGTGTAGGGCACATACCCCATGTTTCTTCCTTTTCTTATAAGGACATTAGTCCTGTTGGGTTAGGGTCCCATCCTTATGACCTCATTTAACTTCAACTACCTCCTTGTTAAATCAAGTTTAGCCTAAAGTTGCCTCCTTATGTATTTTAAGTTCGGCCTAAAGGTTTTCCTGTACATTGTGAACTATAATAAGTGGAGGTGTAAACAAACCATAGCCTACACTTGTGCCAATCACTGAGTTTTGGCCGATCAAATGTAGCCAACTGTTGGGACCGTGTTGAAATAAGGCAAAAGCTGAGCTGTAACCTATCCAGCTGTTTCTGAACCTCATTTCCATTTTCTGAATGTCACTTTCCTTTGTCTGTCCATAAATCTTCTTCCACCATGTGGCTGTGCTGGAATCTGTGAGCCTGCTGTGGCTCAGAAGGCTGCCTGACTTGTGAATCATTCATTGCTCAATTAAACGCCTTTAAATTTAACTTGGCTGATGCTTTTTCTTTTATCATCCTTAAAGGCTCTACCTCCAAATATAGTCACATTGGAATTGGGACTTCAATTTGGGGGCACACAATTCAGTCTACAGCACGTTTCATATCCATAAAGGAAAGCCTAGAGGCCAGGTGTGGTGGCTCACATCTGTAATCCTAGCATCATGGGAGGTTGAGGCGGGCAGATTGCTTGAGCTCAAGAGTTTAAGACTAGCTTGGGCAATGTGGTGAAACCTCCTCTCTACGCAAAATACAAAATAATTAGCCAGGCATGGTGGCGTGCACCTGTAGTCCCAACTACTGGGGAGGCTGAGGTAGGAGGATGGCTTGATCCCGGGAGGCAGAGGTTACAATGAGCCAAGATTGTGTCAGTGCACTCCAACTTAGAAAGAAGGAAAAAGAAAGAAAACAAAAAAAAGAAAGAAGGAAAGAAGGAAGGAAGGAGAGAGAGAGAGAAGAAAGAAAGAAAAAGAAAGAGAAAGAGAGAGAGGGAGAAAGAAAGAAAGAAAGAAAGAAAGAAAGAAAGAAAGAAAGAAAGAAAGAAAGAAAGAAAGAAAAGAAAAGAAAAGAAAAGAAAGAGAGAGAAAGAAAAAGAAAGAAAGAAAAGAAAGAGAAGGATGAGAACGAAAGGAAGGAAGGAAGGAGAAAGAAAGAGAAAGAAGAAGAAAGAAAGAAAGGCAATAGAGTCTTAATATTGATTATCCCTGAGTAAAGGGAATATAAACCTTTTAACTTTATGGTTTTCCTTGTCCTCTTCTCTCTCCACCCCCTCCTCGTTTTTTGTTTTGTTTTATTTTTACAGTGATCATGCATTATAGCAGGGGGGGAAAGGTAAACAAATGGGAAAAATAAAACAGTACTCAGTTTCATAGATGTGGGGAAAAATCATGAAAATTAAAATCATAAAACTGGAATTCGAGTTACATTATTTTGGTTAAAAAAGGTATGTAATCTTATGCTTCAGTTTCCAGAAGTGCAACAAAGGGATGAAAAGAATATTCATCTCATGAAATCACTGTGAGAAACAAACTAGATGATATATATAAAAATTATTTTGCAACCTGAACACTAGTTTTAGTTTTTTTGTTTTGTTTTGTTTTGTTTTTTCTATTTTTAGTAGAGACAGGGTTTCACCCTGTTAGCCAGGATGGTCTCGATCTCCTGACCTTGTAATCCACCTGCCTCGGCCTCCCAAAGTGCTGGGATTACAGGCGTGAGCCACCGCGCCCAGCCTAGTTTTAGTTTTTATTACTTTTTTTTTTAAGACGGAGTCTCGCCCTGTTGCCCAGGCTGGAGTGCAGTGCAAGATGTCGGCTCACTGTAAGCTCCGCCTCCTGGGTTCACGCCATTCTCCTGCCTCAGCCTCCGGAGTAGCTGGGACTACAGGCGCCCGCCACCACGCCCGGCTAAGTTTTTTGTATTTTTTAAAAGAGACGGGGTTTCACCATGTTAGCCAGGATGGTCTCGATCTCCTGACCTCATGATCCACCCGCCTCGACCTCCCAAAGTGCTGGGATTACAGGTGTGAGCCACCGTGCCCGGCCTAGTTTTTATTTCAAAAGTTTAATTCTTTTTTTTTTTTTGAGACAGAGTCTCGCTCTGTCACCCAGGCTGGAGTGCAGTGGTGCGATCTCGGCTCATTGCGACCTCCAGCTCCCGGGTTCAAGCGATTCTCTTGCCTCAGCCTCCTGAGTAGCTGGGACTAACAGGTGGGTGCCATCAGGCCTGGCTAATTTTTTTCTATTTTTAGTAGAGACGGAGTTTCACCATGTTAGCCAGGGTGGTCTTGATGTCCTGACCTCATGATCTGCCCGCCTCGGCCTCCCAAAGTGCTGGGATTACAGGCGTGAGCCACCACACCCGGCCAAGTTTAATTCATGTTAAAGACATTTGGAGAGCATTTCCTCTGGGCATAAGGGCCTTCTACCTGTGATGGGGATCTATATTTATATCTATAGTTATATCAATATCTATACCATCTAGATCTGTTTCTATGTCTAAGCTTTGATTTCTGAGAGTTTGCAGCTCATTAGAGGTAGAGAATAACAATTAGGACCACTTCAGGGAAAAGAGATGGGGCTGGGAGGGTGGCAATACAAAATCATGGGGATGAGGAGAGGAGGAAAATGGAAAATGTGAAATAAAAAACCAGCCAACTAGTTATATGAAATATGAGCAGAACCTCAGGCGTGTATTGTATAAGGGTCACATGTTAATTTCATGTTTGCTTATTAGTCTCTTTGCTTTTCCAGAACAAGTCCTCCCATTCTGACAGGGCCATCAATTACAAAGACATGACTTGTTAACATCAGAGATGGGCACATGACCAACTGACCAACCAGAAAACCTCATCCCCTGGGAGATGGTAATTGGTTGAGAGGTGATCAAGTGACATTAGCAGGGCTAGAGACTTTTTGCAACACTTTTTAATAAGAGTTCACCTTAATATCTCCTTCTAAGATCATGAAAATTAAAAATATAGTGAGTGAATGATTTATCATGCAAACCAGGACATTTTTGAGAGTGAAAGGGGTTGCTATCCATACACATGCTGGCATGATAGATGTAAACTGGACTTATTCTGGACAAACTGTGATATGTGGTCACCCTAATTAAGGACCGTGCAAATCCAGAACTACTCAGAACTGTGATGTAGGAGAGTACATGCCTGCAAATGACACTGGGAGAAAGGAAAGCAAAGGGAGAGAGCCAGAGAAAGAGCACTGGTGACTTGTTTGTACACAATGTCTGATGCTGCCCACTTATGGAATTTTCTATTTACAGGAGGCAACACATTTCACTTTTGCTTAAGAAGGATCTTGCAGAAAGTGAAGAAGAGCAGGAATAGAGAAGACATTTGAATGACGACTGATGTTCTCTTCTTTGGCCTGAGGTTTTAGAACACATTCACTGCCTGATCACTGTGGCCCAGAAGCCATGGCCTCTGCTGAGAGATAGGGACCCCATGTTCCCTCTACACATCTTCTTCCCCAAAGCCTCTCTGAGGCTCCTATGTTCAAAGAAACAGTCCTCTGGCAATGGCCTGGTCCTTTCTGCCATACCAAAGAAAGTTGTTTTTTGTTTTGAGCAAGAGATCACTTCTGATTTTCCTACCTTTGACATGGACCAGACTAATTGACAAATTCTAGAAGGACAGACACTTCCAAACGTCTCTTGACATACTGGCTTCACAAAGGTTAGGAAAGCTGTTATGGGGAGGACGGAGCCTTTCTCCTCTTCCTGAGAACGTTTGAAGAAGAAAGGGGCTACTGAGAAGTCTGGTAGATTCAGCAGCTAGTAAATATCGTGTCTAAATGGGCATCTTTTATTAAACTCTGAGGCAGGGTTGGTGTGTTAGGCCATTCTTTCTTGCTATAAAGAAATATCTGAGACTGGGTAACTTATAAAGAACAGAGGTTTAATTGGCTCATGGTTCTGCAGGCTGCACAGAAAGCATAATGACATCTTCTTCTGGCTAGGCCTCTGGAAGCTTCCAATGATGGTGGAAGGCGAAGAGGGAACTTGCGCATCACATGGCAAAAGCAGGAGCAAGAGAGAGGCGAGGAGGTGCCGCACACTTTTAAAAGACCAGATCTCATGAAAACTCACTATTGTGAGGACAGCACCAAGAGGATCGTGCTAAATTATTCAAGAGAAATCCTCCCCCATGATCCAGTCACCTCCCACCAGGCCCCACCTCCAACATTGGGGATTACATTTCAACATGAGATTTGGATGGAAACACATTCAAGCTTTATCAGGTAGGTGGGTGAGGGGGTTGGCCATCTTTTCTGATCTAAAGAAAGTCAGCAAACCTCCCAAGAAAAGACTCACATGCCTGCCTGTTATATCTTGCAGCCCAGCTCCGGGAGTTCTTAAACTCATAAGAATCTATGAGCTCCCAGATTTATGGGCCTTGAAATAGACTTTGTAAGTACACAAAACCAAAGTTCTTTATTAGAGTTGACACATTTATTTTCCTCATCTATTCTCCCTTTTGTGATCTTTTACTTTCTTCTTTCTCTTTCTTTATATTGAATACTTATCTCTTTTTCACTTTCCTCCCCCTACAAACATCATCTATTCTTTCTCTTTAAGACTTTCTTTTTGGAAATAATTTCAGATACATGAAAGGATTGAAAGACTAGTACAAATAATTATATACCCACCACTGAGCTTCCCTAAATACTCTGCTAGCATTTTTCCATATTTGCTTTATGCGCTGTCTCTCTCTCTTGCTATCAAGCTCTCTTGCTCTCTCTCTCAAATGCTCTCTCCTTCTCCATAAATATAAATTTATTTTCCAAGCTACTTGGAAATAAGTTGTAGACAAATGCCCCTTAACCCCTAAATATTTAATCATAAAAATAAGGATATTTTCTTTCACAACAACAGTAAAGTTATTACAATCCAAAAATAGCATTGATACAACACTATTATCTAATTTGCAGAGCAAATGTATAGCAAATTTCATTTTTCTCAACCAGGGTCTAATCCCAGATTACACGTTACATTTAGATTTCCTGTCTCTTTAGACTCCCTTAATCTGGAATATTTCCTCCATTTTTCCTTGTCTTTAATGATCTTGACATTTCTGAAGAGCACCATCCAATTATTTTGTAGAATATTCCTCAGTTAGGGTTTATCCTCAGTTTGGGCTTCCTCATGACCAGACTCCAGTAACACATTTTAGGCAGGAACAACACGAAAGTGATGTTATGTCTTCAATTCATTATATCAGAAGTCATATAATGTCTATTTGTCCTATTACTGGTAAGTCAACTCTGACATCTTCCTTAATGTTGTGTCTACCAGATTCTCCACTACCATTTTTCGTTTGTAATTTACAAGTGTCTTATGGGAAGCGACATTGAGGGTATGTAAGTATCCTGTTTCTCATCTAATTTTTACCCACTATTGTAGCCAGTATATTCATTCTTACTTGAATCAATTATTACTACCATGTTGGCCAAATGATGATTTTTCTAATTCCATCATTCATTCTTAATTGATTAGCTGGTATTCTATTATTAAAAAGAGCATCTGCTTCTTCCCTATTTATATATTAATTAATTTATATCAGTATTGATTCATGGATTCCTATTCTATTCAATAGTGTTTAATAGGTTCTAATCTGTAATAATTATTTTGACATTCAAATGGTCTCAATTTCTCTCCCTTTTCATATTTTTCCTTTTCCTGCTCCCCTTGTCCCCTTGGTTTCCTATTCTCAGCCTCCCAGCCCCATCTCTTTTCCTTGTCCTGGTCCTAAGCCCATCCTTTTCCTCTATTCATTAGATGGCCCAAAATGTATGCAGGTCCCCTTCCAGCACAGCCTTTCCTCATTTCCTGGGGCTGCAGCTGCACTGGAGCAAATCTGCTAGTTTCTAAAGGTGATATAATCGTAAAGATACCAACTGCAGTTAAGTGTCTCAGTATTTCCAAGGGTTTGTAACTCAGCCATAAAAATTCACTTTAGGCTATAGCTTGACATATAATTTCTCAGCCCAGGAGTGAATTTCTTTAACCATTTTCTCTTTAATTCAACACTACTTGATTCAATGTATCTTTCATCCTCTAATAATATATGCTCATGAGTTGTTACTGCATCAATACAAATCATGTCTATTGCTAAAGTAATTACTAAGGGTAAATATGAAAAAAGTTACAACTTCACTAGTTCAGAGTTTGTGAAAAGAAAACAGTATTGATCTATGTTACTCTCTCTTCTATTCATCCTTCTACTGGCAAATCTTCAATCTATGAATCAAAAAATGTTTTCTTATGTTCAAAGGAAAGATATTATGGCATTTGTAAGATCCTGGCTTCTTTGCGGGGGTTTGTGTCTAATTTTTGTTTCACAATCTGAGTTCAAATTAAGGGACATCACTTGACCAAAGGATTTGATGGGGTATTCTACGTTTTAATAACCAGAATTTGTAGAACTGAAATATTTAGAAATATTAGTTTCAGGAGACTGGCAACTAGCTGTGCGGCTGTGGACAAATTGTAGGAAGGGAAACATATGATAGAGAAAGGGTTGAATTTGAAAGCAGGAGATTGGTATTCCAGGTCTGGCCCTGTCCAGCCACTGACAATAAGAGTCCAATCACTTCAGCTTTCCTCTGACTCATTTTCCTCATCTGTAAAAGTAAACAGTTTTGGACATAATGACCCATAAGGTCCCTTCTAACCATACTGCATCTCTATAATCCTTCAGCTCCATAAAAACAATTGCTCCTCTATTTAGTTTTAATATGACAAAGCAACTTTAACCTGCATTTGGGAATAGTGAAAAGAATAGGATTGGAGACATTAGAATCATAGATTTTCAGGAAAGAAAAAAAACAGGAAAAAGACTAGAAAAATTCGGTGGGAAAAGTTGTTTGCTGATTTGCCTAGTTGTTTGTTTAAACTCATTTAATTCATTTGATCAAAGTGGTCTCCTGTGTATATCCAGTCTCAAAGGGCAGCAGAGGTAGAACATCTTTGAAATTGACTGTACATACCTTTCTCTCTTTCTAGTCCTTTATTATCATATGTACAGGAGGAAGGATGCTTTCCTGGTTAGAAGGAAAGTGTTTAGGCATCTTATATACAGCATCATCCACTAAGCCTAGTTTAGTGCCTTAGACTTAATGAGCACTACAAAGATAGCTATTGAAGGGAATTACATTGAATCTATATAGAGCCCTTCTAGTTCTTTGGCAGTTTCTTTGTGTCTCTGTCAATTACTTTACTTCTCTTTGTTATTCTGTCTTTAAGCAAAAGGTAGTTTCAAGTATTATCAGTGGTCTTATCCTCTTCTGCATTCTCTCCTTAAATGATTTTGACCTGTTTTCTGGTTACACTTAGCTCCTGAGTGCTAATGACCCCCAGATCTTTATTTTGGGGCTTGACCTATCTTCTGATACACGGATTTGCATTTCTAAGTATCATTTTCAACAAGAGACCCATCAGTATCCTAAATTTCACATGATATAAATGGAAATATTTGTTCTCACCAAGAAATAGGTGAGATTAGGCAATAACTTGTATTATGGTTAATAATCATTCCTTTTTTCCTGGCATATTGTCTAGAAATGGTGGTGTCATCTTCAATTTCTCTCTTTACCTCATCCACTTTTTCTCATCTCTGCAGCTAATCAGACTGTGTATGCTAGTCAAGTTGGCCTCCTTTTCAAGTTTCCTGTATTTAAATTCTGGCCTTGACAAGAAATAAGGGAACCCAGGCCAGTCATTATACCTCTTAAATGTTACTTTCTTTCTTGGTTGGGTTGCAGTGAGGATTAAAGGGGATAATGCAAGTAAAGTGCTAAGCACAAGTCCTGGCACATAGCATGAACTCCATAAATGCTGCTGTTGTCTTTGCTTTTATTACATTTTCATTTTTCCCCTGTAATCCCTTGACATCCTGTGTTACCTTCTTTTAGCATGTATATCAATCTGCCTTGCAGTATCATTAGGTACTTATGTGTTGATTTTATCGAGGAGACTGTAAGCTCCTGGAAGCAACCAGTTCAGCTGGGCCCTCTGCAATCAGCCATCAGATGACCAGACAGAAAGATAACTCATGAAAGATCATGTATTAAGGGATGGGCCTGAAAATGGCGAGCTTCCCCTCAGCCATTTCAATGACCTACTTTACAATGACCAGAAGTAATCACAAGGCCCCATTGTGGAGAGGGAGGGTAAGGACTTGCTATCTTCCCATGTGCTCAAGAGGGAAACAAAACAGTAAACAAAACAGTGTGGAGAGCGCATAACAGTGTCTCTGCCCCAAAAAGTGTGTGGATGGGGGAGAGGGATACAAAAAATACAAGACAAAACAAAGACAGTACAATTTTATTTCCCCCAGATGTCTCAAGTTCCTTTACTGTAATGTTTTCCAAACATTGGTCATTCTAGCACCACGTAAGAAGTTTTGCTATGATGCTATGAGTCATTTTTTTTCTTTACATGGACTTCTTTTACTGAATATGGGTTTTGTTTGTTTGGTTGGTTGGTTTTTTGGGGGGGATTGGAGTCTCGCTCTGTCACCCAGGCTGGAGTGCAGTGGCGCGATCTCGGCTCACTGCAACCTCCACCTCCCAGGCTCAAGTGATTCTCCTGCCTTAGCCTCCTGAGTAGCTGGGATTACAGGCGCATGCACCACCACGCTCGGCTAATTTTTGTATTTTTAGTAGAGACGGGGTTTCACCATGTTGGTCAGCATGGTCTCGAACTCCTGACCTCGTGATCCGCCCGCCACAGCCTCCCAAAGTGCTGGGATTACAGGCGTGGGCCACCGCGCCCAGCCATTTATTTTTAAAAATATATTTTTTCATCACTGCGATAAGTAGAAAACCAGTATTTTTCCAATCTATGTCAAAATAAATCATGAGTACTCAAATAAATTTATCCATTGCTCACCTAAAACATTTTTCATAGCACTCACAGGCATTCCACATTTGGGGAAACACTGACTTACTGCATTACACAAACACACACACACATACACACAAACATCTACACACATTTTAAGTGAAGAATGTTTACTGTTGGGCAGATATGTTGAGGAAATGTAGAACAAAAAAGAAATTGCCAGGCTTTTTCATCGAAAAGTTTTTTCCTTTATCCCTTTTTTCTCTCTTTCCCTCTTTCTGCCTTTCCATCTTCCTTCCTTTTTTTTCTTTATTTCTCTCTCTCTCTTCATCTTCCCCTCTTTCTGTTACATTTTGAAGAGGATGAGAGAGGGCAAGATCTTGGAAAAATACGTCTTTTATTAGTTCCCCACAATACTTTTCTTGGAGAGGGCAAGATCTTGGAAAAATACGTCTTTTATTAGTTCCCCACAATACTTTTCTTGAGATGCGGTGAATTCTGGTCATGAAGGCAACATCCTAGCACAATGAAAAAGTCCTGTCTAATTAAATGAACTTTGAAGCTCTAGGATGACCCCACTACCCTCCTTTCCACCTCCCACTCCCATCTTCATTTCCTGAGCAAACACAACCCTCAGCATGCCAGGCTTCTTACCACCATTTGCAACTCCACTCTTTAGAAGAGAAAGCATGGCAAACTGTGCAGTCTTTCAAGGTGAATGTTAGCAGTAGCAGAATCAGTTGGGGCCTCTGGGTGCAGGTCAGGTTAGCCCTGTCAGACTTGGCCACAAGTCTGAAAAGCTGGAGTTGTTATATTTACCTGTCCTCAATTATGCTGAAATGAGGAAAGCCTTCTAGCAAGGTCTGGGGATTCAGGACAAGGATCAAAATGGCCCAACAGGAGTGCCTGAGAAAACAGTTCATTTTCTTACCAATAGAGTTTTACATCTAAGCAGTAAATTTTATCAGAGCCCTCTAACTCTAGTGAAATACAGCAAAGTGCAATAAATTTCACTTTATGGGTTTTATAGTTTAAAAACAGCCTCAGGCAGTCTGGTTACTGAGAGAACCTGGTTGGAGCAGTCTCCAAGGGTTGGTTTCTATATGCAGGGATCCATGGAGATGACCCCATACAGGTTAGCGACCAGCCATTCAGGTAAGGTGTTACCTCCCGCTTGAACATCACTAAAGGTATGATCTAAGTTCTGTGTCTACACCTGTGAAGCTGGCTTTAAACAGTGAAGAAAGAAAGCAATTAAAGTACTAAGCAAAGGGCTTCTAGCGTCCCTGGGACAAGAATAAATGAAGTTCATTAAAGACAGGGGTTTAGTCACTGACTTATTAGAAGATAGCTGACTGCTCTATAAGGTCCCTTGGCCATTTTTTGTTTTTTGATTTTGTTTGTTTGTTTTTTTTCCAAGTGGTTTTGGACTTGGAGTAAATCAAACAACATTTCTTAAGGGAAACTCTTCCAACTGCCCCTCAACCAAAAATATTTTTATAATTTTCCCTGAGGCAGGCTTTTGTCTTTTCAATTGGACTTTAATTGACTGTTTTCTTTACCTTAATAAGTTGTTAAGACTTGAGACGTTCTCTTAATTCTAACAAGGCCTGGTCACAATAGCAATTTGCATCACATAGGACCTCCCCCTACCCAGACGACAACCACCAAACTCTGATCCTATAGTTCCTTTATTTTCATTATTATTATTATTTTACTTTTTTATTTATATATCTACATATTTTGAGAGGGAGTCTCACTCTGTCACTCAGGCTGGAGTGCAGTGGCATGATCTCAGCTCACTGCAACCTCTGCCACCGAGGTTCAAGTGATTCTCCTGCCTCAGCCTTTCAAGTAGCTGGGATTACAGATGCCTGCCACCGAGCCTAACTAATTTTTTTTTGTTTTGTATTTTTAGTAGAGATGGGGTTTCACCATCTTGGCCAGGCTTGTCTTGAACTCCTGACCTCATGATCCACCCGCCTCGGCATCCCAAAGTGCTGGGATTACAGGCGTGAGCCACCACACCCAGGGTATTTTTATTATTTTTTAATCAACTAGGATTCATGTTGAGTCCTTGTAATGGATCCACTGTCTAAGGCCTTTTGCCTTTATGTAATGATAAAACCCACTGGCATTTATTATTTGGCAGGCATGATTGGAAGCACTTTATCTGTATTACCTTGTTTTATTCTAAAAAAAAAAAAAAAAAAAAAAAAAAAACAGCCCATGAGGTAGAGCTTTATTCCTGGCCCTTTTACAGATAAGGACACCAATTTTCCCAGAGTTGCAAAGCTAGCAAGTGGGAAAGCTAGATTCAACTGCCACTTAACATCCTTCATAGGTTCTTGGACACTGCTACTTTAAGCGAAATGATATACTGCAGGTCTTCAAATAATGTTGTTTTCCTTCAATGTCATTTTGTTGTAACACTGATGGAAAACAGATTGGTTCATTATAGGTCATTTGGCTTAAAGTTTCCTTTTTCAAGAACCTATGGACAATGTTAAGTGAGGACTTAACATACTCCCTTCTGGTTGGCACCTGGATGGTAGATGCAGTGTTCCCCATCAAAGCATTCATGTGCATGAGTTGATAAGCATGAGAGCTTTTATTTTGACCTGAGAAGGATTGAGTTGTTTTCAAAGAACATTAAGGAATACTTTAGTCTTTACAGTTGGGATGGAAGGGGTAGGGCAAGAACCCAACGGTTGGTTCTAGGTTCATGAAAAGATAGGGAGGCATTGCACTTTGGGAACTGAGTGGTATCATTCAACCAAGTCAAAAGAGGAGGGAAATACAGAATCAGGGTATCCCACTGCACTGGCAACTCCCTCCAACCACAGACCACAGGCCCTCCCTCCTAAGAATGCATCAGCAGAAGCAGTTATGAAGCAAATGGCCTAAGTGGCTGGCAGATATCCTCAACTATCTGTCCCCAGAGAGACCTCAGGCACCTCATTCCCCATTTTCCATCTTCTACCCCAACCCTGTTTTATATTCCTTGGTGGTCCTCATCATTGCTTAATACAAATATGCTTATCTTGTTTTCTTATCTCTCTTCTCACTAGAATGTCAACTCCACAAAAGCAGGGACCTTATTTGTCTTGTTCATTGATCCCTGGTGCCTGGCATCTGGTATGACCTTAATAAATATTTGTTGAGTAAATGAATAAAATGTAGACAGGAGATGTACCTGGAAGTCCCAAAAATAATTCAGAAGTGGTCAGTTGTGGTGGGGGAGGGTGGTTAAATGTGCTGAGATGGAAGTCACCAAGTAAGAACTAAGAGGCATAATCATTTTGGATTGGTGAAGTCTTGAAAAGTTTTGTTACAAACAACATTTCAATATAAGCATCACCATTTCCATTTTACAGATGAGAAAGCAAAGGCTCATAAAAATTAAATAAATTACTTGCCCCTGGTCCCACAGGCCATATGTGGAAGAACAGGAATTTGCAACTCCATCTAGCTGTTGCTATAGCTCATGCTATTTCTACTCCACCTCGTTAGTGAACGTCTACCACTGGAGCCTGTCTTCTATCTATGAGGTAGATGGAAGGGAAGAGACAACATGGGCATAAATCTCTCAAAGAACAGCTGCAACATATCTTTTATTTTGACAGCACTATGCAGGGCCAAAATCAAAACAAAACAAAAACAAACACGGCCAAAGTTCATGGCCTTTGTCTGCCAAAGCACAGCCAAAACAAAAGGGAGATCTCTTTGATGTAGGTGAACTAAAATGATCTCTTCATGGTCAACTTACGACCTAAAAATGTTTATTAAGCTGCAGTTACACAAAAGTGACATTGAGCTATCCTTTTTCATGGACCACATAACTCTCTAGGTACCACAGCATGGGAATGATAATGTCACAAAGAAAGAGACTGTGGTAGTAAATGTGTGAGGTCTTCTTATTTAAAGCTAGCTTATTTTCATTGTGGTTGACAATTACAGGATTTGTTGCTTTCACTGTCCTTGAAATATCTTTTCAAACAGCAGTGGTGGCGTCTTTGCCTGGTCCCTTGTTCCCTCACAACTCCCAGGAGAGTTCTGAACTTTATTTTGCCAAGTGCAAAGAGAGTCAATGAGTAGTCAATGGTTGCAGCTAATCAATATCTTATCCCCAGTTCAATTTCAACAATGGAGAATAAAGTGACATTTAAAAGGAGACCAAAGGGGAATTCTGTTAAGAACATCTCAGGAAATATATCAAGTTAGGATTAAAATGAAATCTTCTATCTTTTGCTAAGAGATTTCATTTCTATAAACAATTCTTAGGAAAATAATACTAAATGCAGAAGTTTTACGCAAAAAGCTCTTGATTGAAACAGTACTTATGATAATGGGAAATTGGAGAAAACCTAAGCAGCTACAGCAGGTAAAATGGTATGTAAGTTATAGTTACATTCATGCAGGAGACACGAGGCAATAATCAAAAGATTATGAAATAACATAACATAAGGAATTGCTTATGCTTTAATGCAAAGTGGGAAAAAGTAGAAAACAAAAATTAATATTTGGTATCAGAGTGACTATTAAAAAACTTTAATACATAGAAAAAAGATTGGAAGAAAATATACCAAAATGCCTAAAGGACTAGATTTATGTGACAGGACTAGAGATTATTTTTCTTTCCTCTGTTGGTTCATATAAATTTTTCAGGTATGTTTTATGTTTATATAAGGAAAACATCCTGATACACTTTATTTTTTAAGCTTTGTTTTTAAAATAAAGATTTCCAAAGCTCTTGTAAGAAAATAAATTCATATTAAATAATTTCTATTTGTTGATGAATGTGGCTTTCAGTCTGCATGAGATGAATCACCCAACCTCTTTTAAAGCACTGGGTCTGAACTGGGCAGACACCTCTGAATATCCCTGAGAGAAGCAAGTGCTGTTTCAGAGGTATCCTGGTCCCATGAGAAAATGGGGAGGAAGAGACCACAGTTCTTTTCACGTCTGAGTCTTGTTAACATCACTAAATGAGAGAACACACTGAGTGTGGTAGCCAGAATTCTGAGAGCATCCTCAAAATTCTTGGGGTATATACACTCCTTCTCTCATTACTCAGTCAACACTAATTTAAGTGTTGCCTTGAAAGGATTTTACAGATGTAATTGAGGCCTCAAGTTAGTCAACATTAAGATACAAAAAATTTCGAGGTGACTCAATGTAATTACATGAACCCTTTAAATTCAGGTCTAGAGGGCAGCGTCAGGGAAGCCAGAGATTCCAAGCACAAGAAAGATTTGATGCAGCCTTGGTGACTTGGAGATGGAAGGGGCCATGAGGCAAGGAATGTAGACAACTGTAAGTGTTGAAAGTGGACCTCAGCTGGCAGCCAGTAAGAAAAGAGGAACCTTCAGGCTACAACCTCAAGGGACAGAATTCAGCCAACATCCAGAGTAAGTTTAGAAATGGACTTTTCCTCGGCGCCTCCAAATAAGAGTCCATTCTGACCTCTGCATTGATTTTAGGCTTATAAGATTAAGCAGGTGATCCAGCCACACGGTTCTGGTCTTCTGAGCTCCCGGAGAAATGCATGTTGTTTGAAGCTGCTAAGTTTGTGGCAATATGTTACTCAGCAACAGAAAACTAATATACTTGGAATAGAATATTCACTGTGAATGAAGGAAGTTTTGAGCTCTATAAAAATGGAAAACTTTTATCTTACTCTCACTTCCAACTAATTTCCCAGATGCATTATCACTTCAGAACATTCTGCAGGGTATTGGCGATGATTTTTCTTCTTTATAGAGATCCAGTATTAAGTTAGAGAATAAATAGTGGTAATAATAATAATTAATAATAATATAGATAACATTTTGAGCGTGTTTATCATGTGCTAGCATTTTGCTAAACACTTTATCTGCATTCTCTCATATAATTCCCACAATGGTCATTTTAAGACAGAGATTATTACTATTTTCATTTTGTGTTTTCGGAATTAGAGAATTGCAGACATGTATAAATCTTCATATATAAACCTGTGATATTGTGGTATAATGGGAAATATATATTTTGTTTCTGCTCCTGGTTCCTGGCACAAAGCTACTAAAACCCTTGTAGTTTCCTGACTAATAGGGGTGCTAGGTATATCTTTGGTTCTGATATTGGGTCTTTGATTCCAGTTCCTGACATGGTGCTCATAATCCCTTAGAATTTTCTGGGTGATACATGTGTCTTTTTTTCTAAGGAAGTGACTCTTGATGGGCTACTGGATTGGAGCTTGTCACCAGAAAGACCAAGCCATGATTAGAAGCTTGGAACTTTCAGCCTCAGCCCCTATCCTCCAGGAAGCAGAGAGGGGCTGGAGATTGTTAATAATCAATCTTGCCTATGTGATGAAGCTTCCATAAAAATCCCTGAATTCTGGGGTTCAGAGAGATGCAAGGTTGCTGAACATGTGGAGATGCTAGGAGGGTGGTGCCCTGGAAAGAGCATGGAGGTTCAAGAGCCCCTTTCCCCATACCTTGCCCTGTGTATCTCACCCCCTCTGGCTGTTAATCTGTATCCTTAGTAATATTCTTTATGATAAAATGGCAAGTGTAAATAAAGTGTTTCCCTGAATCCTATGAGCCACTCCAGCTAATTAAGCAAACCTGAGGGGGTTCTAGAAAACACCAATTTATAGCCCATCAGTCAGAAGTTCTAGAGGCCCATACTTGTGATTAGCATCTGGAGCGAGGGGCAGTCTTGCGGTGCTGAGTCCTCACCTTGTGAGATCTGACTCCAACTCCAGGTAGGTATTGTCAGAATCGAGTTAAATTGTAGGACACCCCATTAGTGTCCACTGGAGAACTGCTTGCAGTGTAAGGGGAAAATCCCACAAATCTGGTGTCAACAGTCTTGTAATGTTTTGTTGAGAATATAATAGAAGATGCTTAGTTCATCTGTTTGTTTGTTTACTATCATACAGAACCAAAATCCAGGTCTGTCTGATCTTAAACCCATTTGCCTGGTGGAAAGTTATGGATGGTGCTCAGAGTTCACTGTTCTCTTTCTGTTTCATATGCTCAGGTGTGTTGCTAAACATGAGATGCTGGGAAACTGAAAGGAATACGTAAGAAAGATGGCAACAATTAAAAAATGCAGAATGAGGTTGATCTAAAATAAAAGTTGACAACCAATGAAATGGAGTCCTTAAAATTCATTTTTCATAGAAGAACAGATAACGGAATTACATACTTAAGATAAATAATTGCCTGGGCTTGGTTTACTGAGATTTTTTAACTGTGTTTTATATTTGTGATTTAAAAAACTATCAGGGAAGCTTATCTGCAATGTGTTAAGAGCCAACTACATAAATAGAAATCATAGACTCCATCAAGAGGGACAAAAATCATCTGATTCTTTTTATTAAATTATGGTAGCATAGATATTTAGAAAGCCAAGAAGTAAATTCTGTAGGACAAAGTAGGTCATATCTATACTAGAGCCATTAAGAATTATTGCCAACTATTGACAATTATTATCAACTATGAGTAACAGGGTTATGTATCTCAGACAGGCCAAATATGAGGAGCTCACTCCAAAGCAGCTCTGTCCAGTGGAAATGTAATGCAGGATGCATATGTATTTACAAATATTCTAGTAACCACATTACGAAAGCAAAATGAAAAAGGTGAAATTAATTTTAATACTATATTTAATTTAACTCAATACATCCAAAATACTATCATTTCAACATGTAATTAATATAAAAATGTTGAGATATTTTGTATTCTTTTTCATACTAAGTGTTCAAAATCTAGTGTGTATTTTATATTTATATAATATTTCAGTTCAAACTAGCCACTTTTTTTTCTTGTCTATAACTTTTTAAAAAAAATTTATCTTACTTTAAGTTCTGGGATACATGTGCTGAACGTGCAGGTTTGTTACGTAGGTATACATGTGCCATGGTGGTTTGCAGCACCTATCAACACTCATCAAGGTTTTAAGCCCCACATGCATTAAGTATTTGTCCTAGTGCTCTCCCTCCCTTTGCCCCCCATCCCCCAACAGGCCCCAGTGTCTGATGTTCCCCTCATTGTGTCCATGTGTTCTCATTGTTCAACTCCCACTTGTGAGTGAGAACATACAGTGTTTGGTTTTCTGTTCCTGTGTTAGTTTGCCGAGGATGATAGTTTCAAGCTTCATCCATGTCCCTGCAAAGGACATGAACTCATTCTTTTTTATGGCTGCATAGTATTCTGTGGTATATAAGTGCCACATTTTCTTTATCCAGTCTATCATTGATGGGCATTTGGGTTAGTTCTAAGTCTTTGCTATTGTAAATAGTGCTGCTGCAATAAACATATGTGTGCATGTGTCTTTATAGTAGAATGATTTATAATCTTTTGGGTATATACCCACTAATGGGATTGCTGGGTCAAATGGTATTTCTGGTTCTAGTTCCTTGAGGAATTGCCACACTGTCTTCCACAATGGTTGAACTAATTTATACTCCCACCAACAGTACAAAAGCATTCCTGTTTCTCCACATCCTCACCATCATCTGTTGTTTCCAGACTTTTTAATGATCAGCATTCTAACTGGTGTGAGATGTTATCTCATTATGGTTTTGATTTGCATTTCTCTAATGACCAGTGATGAGGAGCTTTTTTTAACACGTTTGTTGGCCGTATAAATGTCTTCCTTTGAGAAGTGTCTGTTCATATCCTTCACCCACTTTTTAATGGGGTTGTTTTTTTTTTTTTGGAAATTTGTTTAAGTTCCTTGTAGATTCTGGATATTGGACCTTTGTCAGATGGATAGATTGCAAAAATTTTCTCCCATTCTATAGTCTGCCTCTTCACTCTGATGATGGTTTCTTTTGGCTATGCAGACGCTCTTTAGTTTAATTAGATCCCACTTGTCAATTTTGGCTTTTGTTGCCATTGCTTTTGGTGTTTTAGTCATGAAGTCTTTGCTCATGCCTATGTCCTGAATGGTACTGTGTAGGTTTTCTTCTAGGGGTTTTATGGTTTTAGGTTTTACGTGTTAAGTCTCTAATCCACTTTGAGTTAATTTTTGTATAAGGTGTAAGGAAGGGGTCCAGTTTCTGTTTTCTGCATATAGCTAGCCAGTTTTCCCAGTACCATTCATTAAATAGGGAATCCTTTCCCCATTGCTTGTTTTTTGTCAGGTTTGTTGAAGATCAGATAATTGTAGATGTGTGGTGTTATTTCTGAGGCCTCCATTCTGTTCCAGTGGTCTATGGATCTGTTTTGGTCCAGTACCATGCTGTTTTGGTTACTGCAGCCTTGTAGTATACTTTGAAGTTGGAGTGTGATGCCTCCAGCTTTTTTCTTTTTGCTTAGGATTGTCTTGGCTATACAGGCTCTTTTTGGTTCCATATGAAATTTAAAGTAATTTGTTCTAGTTCTGTGAAGAAAGTCAATGGTAGCTTGATGAGAATAGTATTGAATCTATAAATTACTTTAAGCAGTATGGCCATTTTCACAATATTGATTCTTCCTATTCATGAGCATGGAATTTTTTTCCATTTGTTTGTGTCCTCTCTTATTTCCTTGAGCAGCGGTTTGTAGTTCTCCTTGAAGAGGTCCTTCATGTCCCTTGTAAGTTGTAATCCTGGGTATTTTATTTTCTTTGTAGCAATTGTGAATGAGACTTCACTCATGATTTGGCTCTCTGCTTGTCTATTATTGGTAAGTGCTCTGTAGACACACATGGCTACTGGCTGTCACGATATTCAACAGCACAATTCTAAAGTTCATTCTCATTGGGGGCAATGTTGTATACAATCAAGCAAAAGTTGAAATTGAGTCTAGAGGATGGAAATCTTACTCATTTTATGTATAAAGCACAGATGTACATACGGTACACAAAAATATATAGAGTTTGTGGTATTAAAATTTCATGGCAAGCCTATTAGTCAAGAGTTCTCTAGAGAAACAGAACCAATAGGACACACATATAAATATAAAATATATGTGAGTATATATACAGAATTTACTTTTCTTGGTTTTCAAAATCTCATATATTTACATATCTAAATATATATATTTCATATATATGAAAATTTAATGCCATAGATAAAATGTATATCTTTTTATGCACTGTATATAATCTTACTTGCTTTATATATAAAGTATATATATAACATATATATGACGTGAGTAAGATTTCCTTATTCTCTAGAATCAATTTCAACTTTTAACCCTTTGTGTACAACATCATCCCCAAAGAGAATGAACATTTTAGAACTATGTTATCCAATACAATGAGAACCAATAGCCACATGTGGCTATAGAGCACTTGAAATGTGACCACTTTGAGCTGAAATGTTATATAAATATAACATACTGTATTTTGAAGACTTTTAGTGTGAAAAAGAATGCGAAATATCTCACATACGGAGAGAGAGAGTGAGGGACATTTATTATAAGGAATTGATTGGCTCATCATGGAGGGTAGCAAGCCCCAAATTCACAAAGCTGCTGTCCCAGTTCAAGTTTGAAGGCCCACAGCCTACAGTAGAACCAGGAAGAGCCAAAGTCCCAGTTTAAAGGACTTCAGGCAGGAGACGTCTCTCTTGCTGCGGGTAGGGTTAGCTTTTTTGTTCAGTTGAGGCCTTCACCGATTGGATGAGGCCACCCACATTAGGGAAGACAATCTGCTTTTCTTAGTCTACAGATTTAAATGTTAATCTTATCCAAATAGACCCTCATAGAAACACCCAGAATAACATTTGACCAAATGTTTAGGCACATTGTGGCTCAGTCAAGTTGACACATAAAATTAACCATCACAAGGTTAACATTAAAAAAAAAAAAATGTCTAAAAGGCTCCTTAGTGGATGGGGGAAGCAGTAATGCTCAAAGGTTGAAGAAGCTGTTCTAGAGAGACCACTACATGACTGAGAGCTGACCCTTCCCGTTTTGGAAAGACAAAATACTGTAGAAAAGCAGCTGAAGCTTTAACAAAGCACAAAGGCCAAGTTTACAGTCTCCAGAACTGTGCCGTCCAGTGATTAAATTGCCACTATTTAAGTGGCAATTTAAATGTAAATTGAATTCAATTAATAATAAATGTGGCACTAGCCACATTTCAAGTGCCCAATAGCTCCATGTGGCTAGTGGCTACCATATCCGACAACAGGTAGAGAATTTTCATCGTTGCCGAAAGTTCTATTGGACAGTGCTGCTCTTGGGTGTGGTGAGTCAGGAATCAAACCCCATTTCTGCCACTTGCTATGTGTAAAACCTTGGGCAGGTTGCTATATCTTTCTTTGTCTCAGTGTCTTTACCTGTAACATAAAATAATGATAAAAGTACCTGCGTTAGAGAGCTATGTGAGTAGTAAATGAGTTAATTCATGTAAAGAGCCTAGCACAGTACCTGGGATATAATTAAATATTTCATAAATGGCAGCTATTACTTCAGTCATCTTCTTCAGGTTTTTTTTTTTTTGCATCACTCAATATTTGTAGTATTATTAAACCTGAAGAAAATAGGAAATAAAACGTTCACTCAAATAACTTAATTTTGCTACTTAGATAAAATTATCTTGAAATAATCTCAATCATTATTTAAGATGTGGTCTTGGTAACCCCATTATCACAGTATTTAAAATATGATTTTTATTTTGGACTGTTTGTGTGACGGAAAACTTGACCTCATCAAAATTTTAATTAATGCCTCAAATACTGATCTACTATAATTTCATCAGTATCAAAATGTAGCTGTTATAATGTCAAGAAAACAAATTGCATTAATTGGTGGTGTTTATTCACTCACACAGAGGTGGCACTGGAGCTGGTTAGACCATTGGCAAATGTCATGCGGGAGGTAGCTGCTTTCTCTTCTTTCAGCATTGCCCACTTAGTTCACTTTATATAATCTAATTCAGAGCTTCTGCCCTTGTTTGTTTCTTTCCCCCAGTCACTTTTGCAATGGGTACAAACTTTGGTATTTCTTATTACAAACCCCAAGCAACTCACCATCTAAGTCGGTATTGCTTATAAAGTGCCACACCAATGAATATACCAGCTTCATTCCTGCATTTGAATACCTGGTGAAAATCAGAATCTCTGTGTGTGGCTCATGGTGATCAAACTATGTCTGGCTTCTGACCAGCTAAGTTTGCATATAGTCTGATGATTATTTAAAAATCTACCCAGAGATGCTTTTCCAGGAGAATGGGTGGTAGTAACATATCTAGGAGTAAAGAAAGTTGCCCAAATTTCAAATTCTATGTGATACAAAAATAGGTTTTATTTGTTTAAAGTAAATGTCAGGCACTGTTGGTTAAAGTAATTCTACAAATGAAATGTGGCAAGACGCAATGTCTCCCTTAAGCAGTGGTTGCAAATCAGAATACATTTATAGTTAGCAAAAACTGGGAAAAAAATAAAAAGCTGATTGGCAATGAGTACTCCATCTGCTTGTTTCAGGCCTGGAGAATATTTATTGCATAGAGCTTGCGCTGCTATTTTAGTTAGATTTTGGATTTAGATAAACTTTTTCACATAAGATATCCTAGATGCTTGTGTAGTTTGATGGGTTTCTGTGATCTCCAAACTTATTTTTTCCATATGTAATATTGTGCAGAACACAAACATATATTTAAAGGAGATGAAAGTGGAACTGTTCTGGTTAGAAGATGGTTCTCCTCCCTTCCTTCCTCAACTCAACCACCACCTTCCATCCAAGTTGCTTAGTGCCATAAGGCTCTTTCATATTAAAGTTTTGGAGCATATTTCTATGTCCTACCACAAGACAATCTTGTGTGACACCTCTAAGAAAAAAACAAACAAACGTGGAACCTAGGGCTATACAGAATGTGGTTTGAAAATATTGTATTGAAATAGTACTGAGGGGTATTTACAGTAGAAGGAACTATTCAACTTATGTTATTTTAATGGAGAACACTCTTACTAGCTAGAGGTCCTCTTTAGGGGGAAGAAAAGCTAGAAAGTTGGGGCCAAGAGATTTGAGTTCTAGTCCTGAACCCCATTCATCAACTGGGTGTTCTTTGGCATGTCATTTAACCTCTAGCCTCTTTCTAATTTGACTTCTTCATCTGTAAAATGCAGGATTGAAATAGATATACATGCCCTTGTTGCCAGGAATTAAGTTCTATGATGCCATGATTCGAAACCAAGACACATACAGGGAATTCAACTTGAGTGGGAATTGAATATTGGTAATTTCATGTGGTTCAACCTATAGTATCTAGAGGAATCCAGGTAGTCACAAACTGAACACACATATATATTACAACACTGTAATTTAAGTTTATTTATAGAACACAGTAGAAAATTCAAGAAAGAGAAAAAGGGAAATTATGGCAAATTTGTCTTGACTCATCTGTCAGTAACTTTTTCAGGGAATAAAAGTAAGTTCTGAGATACGTAGCATAACGTGTCCAAGATGCAACATCCCCAAGTCATTTTCTCTGTTGTCTATGGTAAGCCAAGGAATGGTAATAGGAGCCTGTGATAATTCTATCTGAAAACACCATCTGGTTCTAAGCACTTATCTAGGCCATGGATGTCACAGTCTAGATGTGGTCACCATGATATTCAAAGGTCAAAGAGGGGTCTAATTACATGCCCCAGTACTTAAAGGGCAGAGCCACCAGAGCATGAACATAATCACTCAGGCCAAACAAGACCCATTTATAATTTTAATTATCAGTGAATCAGACAACTCTATCAAATACCAATTATTTGGCTGTTGCTGAAAATAACTGTCTTGTCTTGTTAGTCTCTAGAATAACCCCTTGAGGGAAGTTGGAATGTTCCCCTTAATGTAAATATTTGATAAAATCCATCAAGCAGAATTAGACTCATTTATTGACACTCTGTATTGGTGGTTTATTTTACTTATTGTAAAGGAGCTTCCAATATAGGAAGAATGTGGTTGAAAGCCTGTTAACACTGTCCACCACTAGCAGCCAGGAATGTGTCTTGGGAGCACAAGGCAGCTTCTACTTCAGAGCTCACTTTATTTTTTTCCGTTAAAAGAAATACTTCACCTTACAACTCAGCAAAACTTTATTTGGGGTCTTGTTTATCATAGTGATTTGACGATAAATACTTTATGTGTCTGGGCACTCGGGCTATGCATTAGAAAAGGCACGAAGCCTCCTCTCAAGAGTTCACAGACTATATACATCCATGTTCAGAAAAAATGAATACATGCTAAAGGAAAATTTAATTCAGCCTAGAAACTATTTTTCTTTAATTATAAGATTGTGTTCTGCATAAAGAATCCAAGAAATGTTCCACAAATGATTAATCTTAATGTTAAGCAGTGGCTACCCTGAGCACTCTATTAAATGAACCGTATGAAACCGCCTGGTCAATAACTGTGGAAAATCAGTAATTTTATATAGTTTAACCTAACAGCATCTGGGAGAGAGAAAAAAAAAAAGAACATCCAGACTCTCCACATTTTTAGAAATTGACTATCTTGAAAATGAATATCTTTGAATAAATTATTTTTCAAAGTGTCCAGGGCTGTCACTTTGAGATCTGCCTTCTTGTGAGTGGCTCTCAAAGACAAATATGAGCTCCACTTTCTGCTGTCATCATTTCTTCCCTTTGCTTTTTACCTACAGCAATTAAGACACAAGTAACATGTTATCTGCACTGCTTTGATATTTCCATTTCATTTGCAACTTCAGCGCTCCTCAGTCATTTTTGACACTCTTATAATTTTTATCTGCAATTACGCTTTCATTATCTTCCTTCCTGATATTTTAGATGTCCAATAAGCCTCTCAATTTCCTTAATTACCAAGTAACCTTCCTTCTTCATGCCGAGGGCTATTTTTATTCCTACAATATTTATTACTAATTGGCACCCACACACTTTTATACTTATAATAATTTTTCTGTTCTGCCCTTTATTTACCCTCTGTTTCTCTCTTTGAGAAACATTTTACCCTCCTTGGCAATACTTGATGCTAGTTCTTGGGAGTGGCAATATGATATCAATTTTCCTTGAACATAGTTTGAGGTCCTACTTTAAATTTACAAGTGTCATTTTATGCTTCTTGAATAGTTGCACCAGCTTCCTTCCTTCCTTCCTTCCTTCCTTCCTTCCTTCCTTCCTTCCTCCCTTCCTTTCTCTTCCTTCTTCCTTCTTTCCTTCCCTTCTCAACAAATATCATCATACCAATCACAACTCCTGCACCAGAACTATGTTATTCCTATGTGCTGCTACTTGGTCTTGCAGTTCTTGCATTTACCATTGAAATATTTTGCACTTTGCATTCTGACCTTGGAGCAAAGAGTTTGTAGCTAGGGACACATAGAAGCATTGACACTAATTCCCTGTACATTTGGAGCACGTCTCAGAAATGCTGTCTCAATTACAAGTTCATATTGTCAATTGTTTCTTCCCATAAGTAGAAAATAGACTTTTGTGTGGTACCTTCTACATCATTGAAAATTCAGTGGATATTAGTATGTTGGATGTGAGTCACCAGAACTTACCCTTTTAGGAAAAGTAACACTACCTTTAAAATATGTATCTTTTGAGGCTGGACACAGTAGTTCATGCCTGTAATTCCAGCACTGTGGGAGGCTAAGGCAGGAGGATCACTTGAGCCCAGGAGTTCAAGGCTGCAGCTAGCTATGATCACACCACTGTACTCCAGCCTGGGCAACAGAGTGAGACCCTGTCCCCCTCTCTTTCTCTCTCTCTCTCTCTCTCCCTCCCTCCCTCCCTCCCTATCTCTCTGTTTCTCTCTCTCTCTCTCTCTCTCTCTCTATATATATATATATATGTTTAATTAAATGACAAATACTTATTAATTGCAGATATATCTATTCCATCTACAATGTAGATGGAAAATGAAAATAAAACCATCTGTACTACCCCAGAGATAACTACTATGAAATTTATTCTTGAATTTTTTTTTTAGACAGAGTCTCACTCTGTCACCCAGGCTGGAGTGCAGTGGTGCGATCTCTGCTCACTGCAAGCTCTGCCTCCCGGGTTCACACCATTCTCCTGCCTCAGCCTCCCGAGTAGCTGAGACTACAGGTGCCCACCAGCACGCCCAGCTAATTTTTTGTATTTTTAGTAGAGATGGGGTTTCACTGTGACAGCCAGGATGGTCTCAATCTCCTGACCTCGTGACCTGCGTGCCTCAGCCTCCCAAAGTGCTGGAATTACAGGTGTGAGCCACCGCGCCCAGTATCTTGAATGTTTTTAATAACCTTTGTTTCAACTAACCAAGAAGGCTTCCCTCTCTGCTCTTTTCCACTATACAATTTATATTTATTTTTCTCTCCTGGAGTAAGGTTTATTATTTTCTCAAGGGGCTTATGATGTGTTTTTGTTTTTTCTTTCATCTAAGAAGTCTAAGTTTTAATTTCTCTATGCCTCAGAATAACTTTCTCCCAAGTTCTCTGAATATATTCACTTTCCATTCAGTTAAATGAGTTTCTTTCTTGGCTTTTCCTTCTATATTCTGCACTACACCCAAAACCAAAATACTTGGGGATTCTGCTTTCCCTTTTACTTTAGATGAAAGTTTTGATTTCACACACTATTAACTCAGAGATTAAAAACCATCTCCTGTGCTTAGGACAGAATGAAGGACAACCAGTGATTACAATGAGGTATCCACTTTGCAAGTCAAGCATTTGCCCCAAAGCTGTGTGACTGGGAAATCTAGCAGGCTTGAGTCCAGTAAAAGAACACTTGAACTAAAAGTATATTATCCGAAAGTGCACATTTTTATTTAATTCAGGGTAAAGCAGAATGAATCATAATAGGTCAATAATAATGACTTATGGCTTCCTTCATATGGCACATTTATAATAAATGGTAATTTACCATTAAAGAGAGATATATTTCTTTTGTGTGTGTGCAAGAAAAATTAGCATTAAGTCATACTGAGAAAGAACAGGTTTTCCATTCCTACATTTAGGATTTTATTCAGTTATTCGGGCTTAGAATATCATATGCAAACCACTTTCTCCCAAGTTCCCCCCTCCCTATTCCCATTTAGAAAATACAGGAAGGATTAAAATGTAACCATTTATGACATCATTCCAAATGTACAATGATGGACTGCAGATCCATTCAGTGGGGCCATTTGGAAAATATTTCATGTTCCAGTCATTAGACTTGCTAAATAAGTTCAGACATGGAATTGTATAGGTAGAGAAGGAGAAAGGTAATATCTATAGGTGACTGTATATAAATAAAAGAAATACATGCATATAATTCAGGCTCCTAACTATTGCTCTGATGTTTTAGGATCCTTTGTGCTTGGATTCCTCCCTCCTTCCCTTCCTCCCTTCTTTCCTTCTTTCCTTCCTTCTATACAATACATGCTGATGCTTTACCTGAGGTGTTAACTCTGTTCATTGACGAAATTATAGGCCATTATTGTTTTCACCAATAAAGATCTCAGACTTGGACTATCCTAGCGAAAAGTGATTGACTCTAATTTGTTTGGTATATACTCTCCAGGAAAAGAATCAGTATAAAGTAGACTACAAAAATATAATTCTGAAAGTTCAACCTCTCTACCCACCTTTTGAGTATTCAGCTAAAACTCTCCTCCAGCTCAGAGAGATGCCAAATTAAATTATAGAGAACATCCTAACACTTTAAAACCTGCATATTTTATGTCTGTGGTCTATAAACTGGCTCACAATAACTTGATTAGAGAAAAGTCTTGAGTAATTGGATGAAGTCAGGCACAGAAGATTTGCCCAATAATCAATGAATCTCAGGCGCCTAGCTCTGCTGGTTCCATACTGCTTTTCTATCTGTCCAAATAGCCCTTTCAACGCTGAAGCTTCAGAGAAAGAATATCAAATCCTCAAAACTGAGCTAATTTCATAAGCTTTTTGAAAGTAGATTGGATTTAACAGGGCTGTGCTTTTGGAAATGAATGGTTGATATAAATCAGAGGTACTGGAAAGGTAACGTTTATCTGATTTGATTTAGCAGCAATCTGGTCCAGATGGCAACGTGGAATTTAAAGATATTGAAATATATGGTTGCAGCTGGAGACTGTATAAGCCTAAATATAAATAATTCAGATGTGTTTATGCATTTAACAATGTCAGTTTTAAATACAGATAAGAGCCAAGACTTTAGGCTCACATTTGAAAACGGGAAGATGACTAAATGCAGGTGCTCTTATGTATGTGACCACATTTTAATGCCTAATTTAGCTCCAATCTGAAAATCAAGGTGGAGCTCATCAGATGTACCTGTCTGGTCTAAGAGCATGAAGCACATATTACTATAAGGTTAAATCTGGAATATCGGAAGCAAAAGGTGTGATAAAACAAAACTGCATACAATGAATACACCTGATTGACTAGGACTTGGAAAGACACAACCTTTCTCTCCATGCTAGGATCACAGACCTATATTTTTGAAAAGGAAAAAAAAAAAGAAAGAAAGATGGAAATATGTCAGCTTGAGCCAACAAAGGTTTGACACCATCCGAAAAGGAGATTGGAAAAAATCCCAGGGTGCCAGAATGATGAGAAGAGTTTCTAGGGTTTAGCACATGGCTTCTTCTACCATTCAGAAAGAACTCTGAGTTTAAAGACTTGAGTTCAAATTCTGCCTGTCACTTGAGAGTTCTGTGGCTGTGGGCCAAGGACGTACAGGAGATAATCATCCACACCTCCTAGGGAGCTATGAGGTTTTCTTGGATCAGGAGTATTAAGCCCTGACCTGGCAATACTTTGTTTCTTTCCCTGCTTTGACCTTTACTTCTCTTTTCTGTCTCTTTTTCCTTTCCTTTCTTCCAATATATTATCCACTGGACCTCAGAGCCAGGGTTGGACTGAGACTATGGGCTGAACTGGGGCTCTCCTGAGATTCAGTCACTCTTTCTCTCAAGTCAATCCTGCACACCTTCACTGCCTCAAGGGCAACCCCTTAACTTGTTATTTGGGCTCTGTCTCTTTGTTCCTCTTCCTTAACCAAGGGCCCACTGATAGGACCCTCAAAATGATGACTTGATACTTGGTAAGATCTTAAACTAAAATTAGGGATAGAAAAAAAAGCAATGCCTACAGAAAATATTGTGAATGAAAAATTAACAAATTTGTATAGGCTGTCTGAGGAGTGGGGAGGGCTGATAAAGAGGTAATGAAACATCAAAGATGACCCCAGGATTCACTCTTGGGTCTGACTGAACCACACCTAGAATCAAAGACCTAGCTTGAAAAAGAAGAGCCTACTTGGGAGATTAAGTGACTTGTCGAAGGCCACAGAGCTAATTATAGTTTGGCTTGGAGAAAAGGTCTCTTGGCTTCTGACAGAGAACCTGCTCATTCTATCTCCACAGAAACATTGGAAGAAAAAGCTTACTAAAGCCACAGGGAAAGCAAGATTGATCTAGAAGATTTTCATAATTAAAAATAAGTTTATGGGAGTATGATGGAACAATGCCATGCTTTCTAAAATAGATCAATGCCCTCATTTTTCCTGGAGACTATTTTAGGAGGAGGAACAGGAAAGTTAAAAAAAAAATTATGGGAGGAGGAGGGTCAGGAAGTTTGAACAGAGGAGTATTCATCCTGACACACCTAACATCGCCTCAATGCTTAAAATCACTTTATACAGTTATTTTTCCAAATTAAAGGTTTGATTTCATTAGGAATATTCTTGAAATGTCAGCCTTCATCTTACCTGCC